>NC_000003.12:132947998-133099513 GCF_000001405.40 Homo sapiens
TTCCTTCTCCTGCCTGATTGCCCTGGCCAGAACTTCCAACACTATGTTGAATAGGACCGGTGAGAGAGGGCATCCCTGTCTTGTGCCAGTTTTCAAAGGGAATGCTTCCAGTTTTTGCCCATTCAGTATGATATTGGCTGTGGGTTTGTCATAGATAGCTCTTATTATTTTGAAATACGTCCCATCAATACCTAATTTATTGAGAGTTTTTAGCATGAAGGGTTGTTGAATTTTGTCAAAGGCTTTTTCTGCATCTATTGAGATAATCATGTGGTTTTTGTCTTTGGCTCTGTTTATATGCTGGATTACATTTATTGATTTGCGTATATTGAACCAGCCTTGCATCCCAGGGATGAAGCCCACTTGATCATGGTGGATAAGCTTTTTGATGTGCTGCTGGATTCGGTTTGCCAGTATTTTATTGAGGATTTTTGCATCAATGTTCATCAAGGATATTGGTCTAAAATTCTCTTTTTTGGTTGTGTCTCTGCCCGGCTTTGGTATCAGAATGATGCTGGCCTCATAAAATGAGTTAGGGAGGATTCCCTCTTTTTCTACTGATTGGAATAGTTTCAGAAGGAATGGTACCAGTTCCTCCTTGTACCTCTGGTAGAATTCGGCTGTGAATCCATCTGGTCCTGGACTCTTTTTGGTTGGTAAACTATTGATTATTGCCACAATTTCAGAGCCTGTTATTGGTCTATTCAGAGATTCAACTTCTTCCTGGTTTAGTCTTGGGAGAGTGTATGTGTCGAGGAATGTATCCATTTCTTCTAGATTTTCTAGTTTATTTGCGTAGAGGTGTTTGTAGTATTCTCTGATGGTAGTTTGTATTTCTGTGGGATCGGTGGTGATATCCCCTTTATCATTTTTTATTGTGTCTATTTGATTCTTCTCTCTTTTTTTCTTTATTAGTCTTGCTAGCGGTCTATCAATTTTGTTGATCCTTTCAAAAAACCAGCTCCTGGATTCATTGATTTTTTGAAGGGTTTTTTGTGTCTCTATTTCCTTCAGTTCTGCTCTGATTTTAGTTATTTCTTGCCTTCTGCTAGCTTTTGAATGTGTTTGCTCTTGCTTTTCTAGTTCTTTTAATTGTGATGTTAGGGTGTCAATTTTGGATCTTTCCTGCTTTCTCTTGTAGGCATTTAGTGCTATAAATTTCCCTCTACACACTGCTTTGAATGCGTCCCAGAGATTCTGGTATGTGGTGTCATTGTTCTCGTTGGTTTCAAAGAACATCTTTATTTCTGCCTTCATTTCCTTATGTACCCAGTAGTCATTCAGGAGCAGGTTGTTCAGTTTCCATGTAGTTGAGCGGCTTTGAGTGAGATTCTTAATCCTGAGTTCTAGTTTGATTGCACTGTGGTCTGAGAGATAGTTTGTTATAATTTCTGTTCTTTTACATTTGCTGAGGAGAGCTTTACTTCCCACTATGTGGTCAATTTTGGAATAGGTGTGGTGTGGTGCTGAAAAAAATGTATATTCTGTTGATTTGGGGTGGAGAGTTCTGTAGATGTCTATTAGGTCTGCTTGGTGCAGAGCTGAGTTCAATTCCTGGGTATCCTTGTTGACTTTCTGTCTCGTTGATCTGTCTAATGTTGACAGTGGGGTGTTAAAGTCTCCCATTATTAATGTGTGGGAGTCTAAGTCTCTTTGTAGGTCACTGAGGACTTGCTTTATGAATCTGGGTGCTCCTGTATTGGGTGCATAAATATTTAGGATAGTTAGCTCCTCTTGTTGAATTGATCCCTTTACCATTATGTAATGGCCTTCTTTGTCTCTTTTGATCTTTGTTGGTTTAAAGTCTGTTTTATCAGAGACTAGGATTGCAACCCCTGCCTTTTTTTGTTTTCCATTTGCTTGGTAGATCTTCCTCCATCCTTTTATTTTGAGCCTATGTGTGTCTCTGCATGTGAGATGGGTTTCCTGAATACAGCACACTGATGGGTCTTGACTCTTTATCCAACTTGCCAGTCTGTGTCTTTTAATTGCAGAATTTAGTCCATTTATATTTAAAGTTAATATTGTTATGTGTGAATTTGATCCTGTCATTATGATGTTAGCTGGTGATTTTGCTCATTAGTTGATGCAGTTTCTTCCTAGTCTCGATGGTCTTTACATTTTGGCATGATTTTGCAGCGGCTGGTACCGGTTGTTCCTTTCCATGTTTAGCGCTTCCTTCAGGAGCTCTTTTAGGGCAGGCCTGGTGGTGACAAAATCTCTCCGCATTTGCTTGTCTATAAAGTATTTTATTTTTCCTTCACTTATGAAGCTTAGTTTGGCTGGATATGAAATTCTGGGTTGAAAATTCTTTTCTTTAAGAATGTTGAATATTGGCCCCCACTCTCTTCTGGCTTGTAGGGTTTCTGCCGAGAGATCCGCTGTTAGTCTGATGGGCTTTCCTTTGAGGGTAACCCGACCTTTCTCTCTGGCTGCCCTTAACATTTTCTCCTTCATTTCAACTTTGGTGAATCTGACAATTATGTGTCTTGGAGTTGCTCTTCTCGAGGAGTATCTTTGTGGCGTTCTCTGTATTTCCTGAATCTGAACGTTGGCCTGCCTTGCTAGATTGGGGAAGTTCTCCTGGATAATATCCTGCAGAGTGTTTTCCAACTTGGTTCCATTCTCCACATCACTTTCAGGTACACCAATCAGACGTAGATTTGGTCTTTTCACATAGTCCCATATTTCTTGGAGGCTTTGCTCATTTCTTTTTATTCTTTTTTCTCTAAACTTCCCTTCTCGCTTCATTTCATTCATTTCATCTTCCATTGCTGATACCCTTTCTTCCAGTTGATCGCATCAGCTCCTGAGGCTTCTGCATTCTTCACGTAGTTCTCGAGCCTTGGTTTTCAGCTCCATCAGCTCCTTTAAGCACTTCTCTGTATTGGTTATTCTAGTTATACATTCTTCTAAATTTTTTTCAAAGTTTTCAATTTCTTTGCCTTTGGTTTGAATGTCCTCCCGTAGCTCAGAGTAATTTGATCGTCTGAAGCCTTCTTCTCTCAGCTCGTCAAAATCATTCTCCATCCAGCTTTGTTCTGTTGCTGGTGAGGAACTGCGTTCCTTTGGAGGAGGAGAGGCGCTCTGCGTTTTAGAGTTTCCAGTTTTTCTGTTCTGTTTTTTCCCCATCTTTGTGGTTTTATCTACTTTTGGTCTTTGATGATGGTGATGTACAGATGGGTTTTCGGTGTAGATGTCCTTTCTGGTTGTTAGTTTTCCTTCTAACAGACAGGACCCTCAGCTGCAGGTCTGTTGGAATACCCTGCCGTGTGAGGTGTCAGTGTGCTCCTGCTGGGGGGTGCCTCCCAGTTAGGCTGCTCGGGGGTCAGGGGTCAGGGACCCACTTGAGGAGGCAGTCTGCCCGTTCTCAGATCTCCAGCTGCGTGCTGGGAGAACCACTGCTCTCTTCAAAGCTGTCAGACAGGGACACTTAAGTCTGCAGAGGTTACTGCTGTCTTTTTGTTTGTCTGTGCCCTGCCCCCAGAGGTGGAGCCTACAGAGGCAGGCAGGCCTCCTTGAGCTGTGGTGGGCTCCACCCAGTTCGAGCTTCCCGGCTGCTTTGTTTACCTAAGCAAGCCTGGGCAATGGCGGGCGCCCCTCCCCCAGCCTCGTTGCCGCCTTGCAGTTTGATCTCAGACTGCTGTGCTAGCAATCAGCGAGATTCCGTGGGCGTAGGACCCTCTGAGCCAGGTGTGGGATATAGTCTCGTGGTGCGCCGTTTCTTAAGCCGGTCTGAAAAGCGCAATATTCGGGTGGGAGTGACCCGATTTTCCAGGTGCGTCCGTCACCCCTTTCTTTGACTCAGAAAGGGAACTCCCTGACCCCTTGCGCTTCCCAGGTGAGGCAATGCCTCGCCCTGCTTCGGCTCGCGCACGGTGCGCACACACACTGGCCTGCGCCCACTGTCTGGCACTCCCTAGTGAGATGAACCCGGTACCTCAGATGGAAATGCGGAAATCACCCGTCTTCTGCGTCGCTCACGCTGGGAGCTGTAGACCGGAGCTGTTCCTATTCGGCCATCTTGGCTCCTCCCAAGACTTTAATTTTAACACACTTTTGTGAAAATATTGAAAAGTTTGGTTCCTGTTTCTTCTCATTGTCTCAAGGGCTAAATGTATTTAAAATTTTTCCCTGGTGGCTTAGAATCACCTTTATGACCCAGCCATGGTATCCCTGTGTGGCTGTCTGCAGCCCCTCATGCTGCCTTTAAAACATGAATCTCCGAGAAGCTGGAGGGCTCACAGTACATGCTCATGAAGGAGCATGGGTCCAGGAGTCAGAGAGCCTCCTCTTGTCTATAAATTATGTCTTCTTGGTGGGGATTCAGGGAACCAAGAAGAAAACCTCCCAGGAGAGCCAGGAGAGGCTGTGATAGCACAGAAACGTGTGACCCTCTAAGACCAAGTTGCTAGGGTTGGAGAGTAAAAGAAGGAGTGGGGAAAAGGTGCCAGGCTCTTTCTGATATTTCTTCTTCTTGTCCCCTTTTTATCTCTTCCTCCTTTCTAGAACCTTCTGAAAGGCATGCTTGGTACCTGTTTCCAGTCCTGGGGGCCAGATTCTACTCCTAGCTTCTGTTTTGCCATGACCTTATTGACACCCCCTTCCTCTTCCTCATCTCTCATCTCCTGGGTTCTCCTTCTGCAAAGCTGGGTGGGCGGGGTTGGGTCCAAGCCAGCCAAATACAAGGCTGCTGAATGCCACTTAGTTATATACAGGATAAACATTTTCAGATTTCACAGAAGAGTATTGTCACTTTATAAATTTTAAAGAAGGGGAAGCTACATCTATAAACCAATAAGAAAAATTCCCCAACTTTTAGTGGGCTAACCTATAGGAATCCATTTTATCAATAAAATATGTCCTTTTTAAACTGCATGTTACTATCTACTAGTACTTTGTAAAATCAGTGCATTGAACTAAAAATTTTTAAATAATAGAACAGAAAATATCAGAGTGCCTTACACATAGTAAGAGAAGGTAATGTTGCATGAAAAGTTTGATTCAGTTAAATATATACAAAAGAATGGGTATATGTATGAGGTTACTAGGTTAAATGTATTGCTGACTGTAGGTGGTGGGCAAAATATTTGAGAATTACTGAATCCTAACAATTGCACCTGGCAGTAAACTTGGACACTCATATGGGCCTCCTTTGGTCCTGGGAAGGTATCTGAAATGCTAGGGTCAACGTGCCCTCCTGATATTGCTGAAGAACCAGGTGGCTCTTTGAGCTCATGGGTGAAGTCCTGCACCTCTTCCAGGAAAATACTCACCTAAGACTTTAGATATGTCTACAGGTCAACTTGGGGTTTTTCCTTCATTTTGCTTGGTAAATTAAGTAATGGGAGAAATTAGCAATCTTCTTTTGAAGACGAATGGATCCACCTATATAATCTCCCTTTTCTGTAAATGTGGCTGTGGGATCTAAATGTAGCTTCTTCTGGTCTTAGGAGGGCCATCAATGGCCATCTGTCTCTAACTTGGGCCATGTTACAGCTTCAGTGAAAGAGAATAACCTTGAGATAGTTACTTTTATGTGTCAACTTGACAGGCCATAGGATACCCAAATGGAACATTGCTTCTGGGTATACCTGTGAGGGTGTTTCTGGATGAAATTAGGATTTGAATCCATGGACTCAGCAAAGTAGATTGCCCTCCCCCAATGTGGGTGGGCATCATCTAATCCATTAAGGGCCTGAATAGAACAAAAGGCAGAGGAAGGAGGAATTTGCCCCCTGTTCATCTCCTCTCATATTCTCCAGCCCTCAAGCTGGGATTTATACCATTTCCTCCCCTGGTTCTCAGGCCTTTGAACTGGGACTAAATTACACAATCAGCTTTCCTAGGTCTCCAGCTTACAGATGGCGGATCATGGGACTTCTTAGCCTCCATAGCTGCATGAGTCAATTCCTTATAATAAACCTCTCTATATATTGGATATAGATAAAAATAAACACTGATATCTCCTACTGCCTCTGTTTCTTTGGAGAACCCTGACTAATACAGGCCTCAAAAAGCCTGTTTTTGATGCTGTTGGCTGGTGTGGTTAAATTTGGCCAAAAAAGCTCAGAAATATCTGTCATGTACTCATCATGGGGAGAGGCACCACCACCTCAGAGCTAGTATGTATAGTCTTTTCAAATGCGAGCTCTACATGTCCTCATAGTCAGGCTAAAAAAAATTTACTGAGAATTACTGAGAATTATAGATACAACATCTGAACTTGTCTCCTTGGGCCTATGGATACCTATCCCAGGTACAATGGGTCATCTTCCATCAAGAACCTGTTGGCATTCAGGTTCTCAAGATGACCTCCACCTGACATTCCAGCAAGCATACAGAATTCTTCACTGGGTGCACACAGTGAACATTTAGAATATTTTACATGTTCCAAAATCCAATGTAAGCTACACTTTAGTTATTAGGCTGATAGATTTTTAGAACTTTACTGTTCAAGTTGCCTCAGTGTAATAATCTGGGGGTCAAATCATTTGATTCTGCAATATGCACAAAGACTATATTTGTGTTTTCTATACATGAAGATAGACTTTGGCATGCAAGCCAAAGATTCCTGCCTACTTTGATTTTTGTGACTGTGCCTCCATAGAAGCAAATGGCCAGGGAAGCACAAACCATCAAGCTCAGACCTATGTGAGACCAAGCCACACACTGATCCAGGTTACCAGGAAAAAAATTCAGAAAGCAACTAACAGTAGGAATATTATGATCAATTGGTTTAAGAGGTAAGACCTGGTTTGCAGGTTTCTGCAAGCAGCACCTACATAGACCAGGACCACATTTTGAGTGTTTAATAACTTGGAGTTATTGGCATTCTTATTTCCCTTTGTTATTCTCATCATCCCTACATAGATCCCTACATACATCACTATGGGTGCATGTTTTTTGTTATAAGAGATAACTATGAGCATGGATGGTTCAATATAAAATCTTGCCCATTTAAAAACTAAATATGGTTAGCCCTCCATATCTGTGGGTTACTTTCGTGGGTTCTGCATATATGAGTTCAACCAATCATGGATTGGAAATATTAGAAAAAAATTACATCTCTACCAAACACGTACAGACTTTTTTTGTTATTATTCCCTTAAAATACAGTATAACAACTATTTACATAGCACTTACATTATATTATGTATTAGAAGTAACCTAGAGATGATTTAAAGTATATGGAAGGATATGCATATGTTGCATGCAAATTCTACAACATTTTGTATAAGGGACTTGAGCATCCATAGATTTTGCTATCCCTGGGGGGGTCCTGGAAACAATCCTCAACAGATAACAAGGGAAGACAATAGTTCAGTCTGTGCTTCGTACAATTGAGTCGTCAATTCATTGTTTAAAAATTTACAGTGTATATTACCTCAAGAAGAAGGAATGGTGTTATAAATGGGACTCAGTTATTTAAGCCCTCCTAGGTCCATCTTCTGACCCTAAGGCCCTGAGTGACTTGGATCCTCCAGTGGACATTCAGCAAATTTACTATGTCAGAGAATAGGTTTGTATCTCAGTGAGCTGACTGTATTTTAGAAGATTTTTAGGAGCAGGTTTTCTCACAATCTTTTTAATAAAACATTCCAGCAATAGCTTTATTTATTTCTCTCCTTCCCACATGCTCAGACCTCTTGAAAGAATGGTTCCTCCATTCACAACTTAATTTTTCACCTTCTGTATTGGTTAGTGCAGAAGTTAAGTAAGCTGCTGTGACAAAGAGATCCAAAAATACAGAGGCTTACATCATTTAGAACTTCTTTCTTATCATGCAGCATTCCACAGGTGAGTGGAGCAGCCTTGCCAGGCAACTATGGTCCATTCAGGAACACAGGTTTCTTTTACCCTGGGTCTCCACCGTGACCTAGAGTATTGCCCTCATCTGAGTTGGGGATGACTCCAAGGATTTGACCTGAATAACTGGAAAAATGGAGTTGCCATTAGCTGAAATGGAAAGAGGGCAGAGAAGAACTGACTTTTAGTCATGTAAATTTGAGATGCCCATGCTATGTTCAAGTTGAAATATAAGTAAGTAGTTGGATAAACAGCTGGGTGTTCAAAGGAGAGGTCCAGGCTCTCGAAATGATTTAAGGAGTCATTAGTTACAGGCCTTGATGAGATCAATGAGGGAATGAACGTGTATTAAGAAAGAGAAAAGAACCAAGGACTGAGCGCTGGGTCATTCAAAAATGTGGAGGTTGTGAACATGAAATCAGCCAGAGGATGAAAAGGAATGATAAATAAGGTAAAGGAAAATCAAGAGAGGTTGATATTCTCAGTGCCAAGAGAAAAGCATGTGTCAAGGAGGAGGGGAAACTCAATTCAAATGCTGCTATGAGCCAAGTAAGGTGAGGACTGAGATACAACAATTGTTCAGTAAACTTGAGGGATCCCCGAGCAAAATGGCCAAACAAGAACAGCTCCAGTCTGTAGCTCCCAGTGACACCAATGCAGAAGGTAGGTTATTTCTGCATTTCCAACTGAGGTACCTGATTCATCTCACTGGGACTGGTTAGACAGTGGGTGCAGCCCATGGAGGGTGAGCAGAAGCAGGGTGGGGCGTCACCTCACCCGGGAAGCACAAGGGGTGAGGAAGTCCCTCCCCTAGCCGAGGGAAGCCCTTAGGGACTGTGCCATGAGGGACAGAGCTATCTGGCCCACATACTATGCTTTTCCCATGGTCTTTGCAGCCCACAGACCAGGAGATTCCCTCAGATGCCTACACCACCAGGGTCCTGGGTTTCAAGCACAAAACTGGGCGGTTGTTTGGGCAGACACCGAGCTAGCTGCAGGAGGTGTTTCCCCGCGCCGCCCCCCCCGCCCCTGCCCCGTGTGCCTGGAATATCAGTGAGACTGAACCGTTCACTGCCTTGGAAAGGGGGCTGAAGCCAGGGAGCCAAGTGGTCTATCTCAGTGGATCCCACGCCCACAGAGCCTAGGAAGCTAAGATCCACTGGCTTGAAATTCTCTCTGCCAGCACAGCAGTCTAAAGTCGACCTGGGACAATGGAGCTTGGTACTGGGAGGGGCTTCCACCATCACTGAGGCTTGAGTAGGCGATTTTCCCCTCACTGTGTAGACAAAGCCACCTGGAAGTTCGGACTGGGAGGAGCCCAAAGCATCTCAGCAAAGCCTCTGTAGCCAGACTGTCTCTCTAGATTCCTCCTCTCTGGGCAGGGCATCTCTGAAAGAAAGACAGCAGCCCCAGTCAGGGGCTTATAGATAAAACTTCCATCTCTCTGGGACAGAGCACCTGGGGGAAGGGGCAGCTGTGATGCAGCTCTAGGGGTCTTTAGACGCTGGCTCTAAAGAGAGTAGCAGATCTCCCAGCACAGTGCTCGAGCTCTGCTAAGGGACAGACTGCCTCCTCAAGTGGGTCCTTTACCCCTGTGCCTCCTGATGGGGAGACACCTCCCAGCAAGGATCATCAGACACCTCATACAAGAGAACTCCACCTGGCATCTGGTGGGTGTCCCTCTGGGATGAAGTTTCCAGAGGAAGGAGCAGGCAGCAACCTTTGCTGCTCTGCAGCCTCCACTGGTGACACTCAGGCAAACAGGGTCTGGTGGACCCCCAGCAAACTCCAGCAGACCTGCAGAAGAGGGGCCTGAGTGTTAGAAGGAAAACTAACAAATAGAAAGCAATAACATCAACATCAACAAAAAGGATAACCACGCAAAAATTCCATCCTAAGGTCACCAACAGCAAAGAACAAAGGTAGAAAAATCCAAGAAGATGAGGAAAAACCAGCACAAAAGGGCTCAAAATTCCAAAGCCAAGAATACCTCTTCTTCTCCAAAGGATCACAACTCCTTGCCAGCAAGGGAATAAAACTGGTTGGAGAATTCACTGGATGGAGTTTCACGAATTGACAGAAATAGGCTTTAGAAGGTGGGTATAAACAAACTCATCCAAGCTAAAGGAGCATGTTCTAACCCAATGCAAGGAAGCTAAAAATCTTGGTAAAAGGTTAGAGGAGTTGTTAACTGGAATAACCAGTTTATAGAAGAGCATAAATGACCTAATGGAGCTGAAAAACACAGCATGAGAACTTCGTGAAGCATATACAAGTATCAATAGCTGAATAGATCAAGCAGAAGAAAGGATATCAAGGATTGAAGATCAACTTAATGAAATAAAGCATGAAGACAAGATTAGAGAAAAAAGAATGAAAAGGAATGAACAAAGCCTCTAAGAAATATGGGACTATGTGAAAAGACCAAGCCTACATTTGATTGGTGTACCTGAAAATGACAGGTAGAATGGAACCAAGTTGGAAAACACTCTTCAGGATATTATCCAGAGGAACTTCCCCAACCTAGCAAGAGAGGCCAACATTCAAATTCAGGAAATACAGAGAACATCACAAAGATATTCCTCGAGAAGAGCAGGCCAAAGACACATAATTGTCAGATCCACCAAGGTTGAAATGAAGGAAAAAATGTTAAGGGCAGCCAGAGAGAAAGGTCAGGTTACCCACAAAGGGAAGCCCATCAGAATAACAGTGGATCTGTCTGCAGAAACACTACAAGCCAGAAGGCAGTGGGGGCCAATATTCAACATTCTCAAAGAAAAGAATTTCAACCCAGAATTTCATATTCAGCCAAACTAAGCTTCATAAGTGAAGGAGAAATAAAATCCTTTATAGACAAGCAAATGCTGAGGGATTTTGTCACTACCAGGCCTGCCTTACAAGAGCTCCTGAAGGAAGCACTAACTATGGAAAGGAAAAACCAGTACCAGCCACTGCAAAAACAAACCAAAATGTAAAGACCATTGACGCTATGAAGAAACTGCATCAACTAATGGGCAAAATAACCAGCTAACATCATAATGATAGGATCAAATTCACACATAACAATATTTACCTTAAATATAAATGGGCTAAATGCCCCAATTAAATGACACAGACTGGAAAATTGGATAAAGACTCAAGACACATCAGTGTGCTGTATTCAGGAGACCCACCTCATGTGCAAAGACACACATAGGCTCAAAATAAAGGGATGGAGGAAGATTTACCAAGCAAATGGAAAGCAAAGAAAAAGCAGGAGTTGCAATCCTAGTCTCTGAAAAAACAGACTTTTAACCAACAAAGATCAAAAGAGATAAAGAAGGCCATTACATAATCGTAAAAGGATCAATCCAACAAGAAGAGCTAACTATCCTAAATATATATGCAACCAATACAAGAGCACCCAGATTCATAGAGCAAGTTCTTAGAGACCTACAAAGAGATTTAGACTCCAACACAATAATAGTGGGAGATTTTAACACCCCACTGTCAATATTAGACAGATCAATGAGACAGAAAATTAACAAGGATATTCAGGACTTGAACTCAGCACTGGACCAAGCAGACCTAACAGACATCTACAGGACTCTCCACCCCAAATCAACAGAATATACATTCTTCTCAGCACTACATCACACTTATTCTAAAATTGACCACATAATTGGAAGTAAAACACTCTTCAGCAAATGCAAAAGAACAGAAATCATAACAAACAGTCTCTCAGACCACAGTGCAATCAAATTAGAGCTCAGGATTAAGAAACTAACTCAAAACTGCACAACTACATGGAAACTGAACAACCTGCTCCTGAGTGACTACTGGGTAAATAACAAAATGAAGGCAGAAGTAAAGATGTTCTTTGCAACCAATGAGAACGAAGACACAATGTACCAGAATCTCTGGGACACAGCTAAAGCAGTCTTTAGAGAGAAATTTACACAGCTAAATGCCCACAGAAGAAAGCAGGAAAGATCTAAAATCAACACCTTAACATCACAACTAAAAGAACTAGAGAAGCAAGAGCAAAGAAATTCAAAAGCTAGCAGAAGACAAGAAATAACTAAGATCAGAGCAGAACTGAAAGAGATAGAGACAAGAAAACCCCTTCAAAAAATCAATGAATCCAGGAGATGACTTTTTGAAAAGATTAACAAAATAGATCACTAGCCAGGCTAATAAAGAAGAAAAGAGAGAAGAATCAAATAGACACAATAAAAATGATAAAAGGGATATCAATACTGATCCCACGGAAATACAAACTACCATCAGAAAATACTACAAACACCTCTGTGCAAATAAACTAGAAAATCAAGAAGAAATGGATAAATTCCTGGACACACAGACCCTCCTAAGACTAAACCAGGAAGAAGTCGAATCCCAGAATAGACCAATAACAAGTTCTGAAATTGAGGCAGTAATTAATAGCTTACCAACCAAAAAAAGCCCAGGACCAGAAGGATTCACAGCCAAATTCTACCAGAGGTAAAAAGAGAAGCTGGTACCATTCCTTCTGAAACTATTCCAAATAGCAGAAAAGGAGGGACTCCTCCCTAACTCATTTTATGAAGCCAGCATCATCCTGTAACCAAAACCTGGCAGAGACACAACAAAAAAAGAAAAATCTATATCGTGAAAATGGCCATACTGCCCAAAGTAATGTATAGATTCAATGCTATCCCCACTAAACTACCATTGACTTTCTTCACAGAATTAGGAAAAACTACTACAAATTTCATATGGAACCAAAAAAAAGCCCGCATAGCCAAGACTATCCTAAGCAAAAAGTATAAAGCTGGAAGCATCACACTACCAGACTTCAAAGCATACTACAAGGCTACAGTAACCAAAACAGCATGTTACTGGTAACAAAACAGATACATAGACCAATGGAACAGAAAAGAGGCCTCAGAAATAACGCCACACATCTACAACCATCTGATCTTTGACAAACCTAACAAAAGCAAGCAATGGGGAAATGATTCCCTGTTTAATAAATGGTGTTGAGAAAACTGGCTATCCATATGCAAAAAACTGAAACTGGACCCCTTCCTTATACCTTATACAAAAATTAACTCAAGATGGATTAAAGACTTAAATGTTAGACCTAAAACCATAAAAACCCTAGAAGAAAACTTAGGCAATACCATTCAGGACATAGGCATGGGCAAGGACTTCATGACTAAAAAACCAAAAGCAATTGCAACAAAAGCCAAAATTGACAAATGGGATCTAATTAAACTAAAGAGCTTCTGCACAGCAAAAGAAACTGCCTTCAGAGTGAACAGGCAACCTACAGAATGAGAGAAAATTTTTGCAATCTATCCATCTGACAAAGGGCTAATATCCAGAATCTACAAGGAACTTAAACAAATTTACAGGAAAAAACAAACAAACAATCCCTTCAAAAAGTGGGCAAAGGATATGAATAGACACTTTTCAAAAGAAGATATTTATATGGCCAACAAACATAAAAAAAAGCTCATCATCACTGGTCATTAGAGAAATGCAAATCAAAACCACAATGAGATACTGTTTCATGCCAGTTAGAATGGCAATCATTAAAAAGTCAGGAAGCAATAGGTGCTGGAGAGGATGTGGAGAAATAGGAACCCTTTTACACTGTTGGTGGGAGGGTAAATTAGTTCAACTATTGTAGAAGACAATGTGGTGATTCCTCAAGGATCTAGAACCAGAAATACCATTTGACCCAACAATCCCATTACTGGGTATATATTCCAAAGGATTATAAATCATTCTACTATAAAGATACATGCACACATATATTTATTGCAGCACTATTCACAATAGCAAAGACTTGGAACCAACCCAAATGCCCATCAATGATAGAATGGATAGAAAGTGTGGCACATATACTCCGTGGAATACCATGCAGCCATAAAAAAGGATGAGTTCTTGTCCTTTGCAGGGCCATGAATGATGCTGTAAACCATCATTCTCAACAAACTAACACAGGAACAGAAAACCAAACACCACATGTTCTCACTCATAGGTGGGAGTTGAACAATGAGAACATATGGGCACAGGGAGGGGAACATCACACACTGGGGCCTGTCAGGGGGTTAGGGGCAAGGAGAGGGATAACATTAGGAGAAATACCTAGTGTAGATGACGGGTTGATGGGTGGAGCAAACCACCATGTCACATGTATACCTATGTAACAAACCTGCACGTTCTGCCCATGTTTCCCAGAACTTGAAGTAAAATGGAAGAAAATGTTCAGTAACCTGTACTGTAAACACATGTGCTGTCATCCAGGCTTTGTTGTCCCATTGATAGAGCACAGGCAGAATAGATTTAGCACAGTTCTCAAGGGCCTTAGGGTTTTCAGAATGGTAAATGAGCATTTGCTTCCACTCAAAGTCAGCAGCTGCATTAGCTCCTAAGAAGAGAGTCAGCTTGCCCTTTGAAGCTTCAAAGCCAGACATTGACTTCTTTCTAGCTATGAAAGTACAGGATGACATCTTCTTCCAATAGAAGGCACTTTGGCAACATGGAAAATCTGTTTAGTGTAGCCATATTCATCAATTATGTTAACTAGATCTTCTGGATAACTTACTGCAGCTTCACATCTGCACTTGCTGCTTCACTTTGCACTTTTATGTTACAGAGACTTCTTTCTTTAAACTTATTAACCAACTCCTGCTAGCTTCAAACTGTCCTCTGCAGCTTCCTCACCTCTCTCAGCTTCCTAGAATTGAAGAGAGTTACGACCTTGCTCTGGATTATGATTTGGCTTAAAGAAATACAGTTACTGGTTTCATCTTTTATCCAGACCACTAAAACTTTCTCCCTCTTTTATCCAGACCACTAAAACTTTCTCCCTATCAGCAATAAGGCTGTTTTCCTTTATCATGTGTGTGCTCACTTGAGTGACACTTTTAATTTTCTTTAATAATTTTTTCTTTGCATTCACAACTTTACTAGCTGTTTAGTGCAAGAGGATTAGCTTTTGGCCCATCTTGGTTTTTGACATGCCTTCCTCACTAAGCTTCATTATTTCTAGTTTTTGATTTAAAGTGAGATTTGTGCAGCTCTTCCTTTCACTTGAATACTTAGAGGCCAATGTAGGGTTATTAATTGGCCTCGTTTCCATATTGTAGTGCCTCAGGTGATAGGGAGACCCAAGGAGAGGGAGATAGATGGGGGAATGTCTGGCTGGTGGAGCAGTCCGAATAGGCAGAACATTTATTCATTAAATGTGCTGTCTTATCTCGTTGTGGTTGGTGGTGCCCAAAACAATGATAATAGTAACATCAAAGATCACTGATCACAAATGACCAAAACAGGTATAATAATAATGAGAAAGTTAGAAATATTTTGAGAATTCCCAACATGTAACACAGAGACCCAAAGTGAGCACATGCTGTTGGAATAATGGCAGCAATAGACTTGCTTCATGCAGCATTGCCAAGAACCTCCAATTTGCAAACAATGCAGTATCTGCAAAGCACAATAAAGTGAAGTGCAGTAAAAAGAGGTATGCCTATTTTTTTTCATTCTTTGATTCAAGGAATCTTGAAAACATACAATGTGTCCTACATGTACAACATATTCCTTTAGGTAGATAACAAATAAAAAGACAATTTATAAATTAAGCCGCATGCCTTAGATTCAATCCTGGAAACAATACTGTTTCTCTCCAAAGGTCCCTCTACTCACTCCTTCACAATCTGTTCCCTCCACCTACTAGACATACCGGCTGCCTTGGTGACCAGCCCATGGCAAGGGAAAGACCCAAAAATAAAACTAAAGGATAAAACACTCAGAAAAGACACAAATTAATAAGATATTTGGCTAAGTATTAAACAGGGGAAAATGCACAAAACTCTTGGAGTAAGTGTGCTGCAATGAACATTCTCTCCAGTTCCATGGGTCAGAGGATAACTGTCAAGAGGATTCATTGCAACAAGTGTGCATAAGTGCCTAGGTATTCACTTCTGGTGATTTCACTTTAATGAAGTGGAACAATGACATAAATTAGTCAAATCAGCTTTAAAATTGCTACATGTGCTGATGTTTGTATTAAAACGATCATGCTTATCTGAACACATGTAAGAATAACATTGTGGGCCTGTGGCCAGAAGGGTGCCAGGGAGGACATCAAAATCCAGCAGAGAAAACCCACAAGGCAAAAGATAAAGGCTTGGATGTTCATCACTTGCTGGTATTAGACAGGCTGCTTTGAGGTAAATAGGTCACCAATTAAGGGGACAAAAGCCTCTGGTTCTGGAAAAAGCTCAGTCACTAGCTATGTGAACTAGGGTATGTTGTTTTTCCTTTCTGGAGTTCAATGACGGAGTTGGACAAGACAACCTTTGAGACCTCTTCTGCCACTTACATCTCACAACTAGTCTCCCAAACTTAAAAAAAAAAAAATCATTTAGTTGATAATTAGGGAGTGAGTGCCTTTCCAGTCCCATTGTCAGTTTTGACCCAGATGCATGCATTACTAAAGGTGTCGATGATTTTATCTTTGTAAAACACTTTCTTAAAGAAAGCCATACACTTATTAACCTTACAGATTTGGAAGCCTATTAACAGAGGGGCATTTGCTCTCTCTAACCTACACACTCAGAATGATTTGTCTCCCATATGCCTGGCCAGGGCAAGATTGTTGCTAGGAAGTTAAACATCCTGTTACTCAGCACCAAAAAAAGGAAGATAGCAGATGTGCGAGATCAGCTGGGTGGCAGAGATCTAACATTGACAACACTCCTAATGTGTGCAAGCGTGCAGTTTCCTTTTGCCCTTTATGATTTCTTACCCATCCTCCAAATTGATTTTTGGCATGCTTTGTGGATAAATGTTGTTGAATTTCTGTGCTGGCCTCTATACCCATTGTCAGGACTGCATACAACACAATGGAATCATGCTTTTAAAAAAAAACTTTATTGTTAGAATTCACACAAAACCACTTCAGCACATCATTCTATGGTAGAAAATAAGAGTCTAAGTGAATGTTTGTGTACATATACACAAACACACATATTACGTTAGGATATATATTTATAGACTCATTTATTTTTCTCTTTAGAGATAATTTGGAAACTGATTATTAGAAAAACAAAATGTCACCTTCTAGGTACAATACCTTTTAATCAAGCACAATAGCAATTTTTCACATTGTATAGCCTTTAACAGTCTACAAAGAGCTTGCCATATATTACATGTGTCACCTCTGCAATAAACTGGTGTTATTTGTAGACCAGAAACCAAATATTAGAGTAGTTAATTTGGGCCTGCTGGTCTTGACACAACTCTTCCCTCCAGATTCTTTATGCTAACAACATAAATTTCAGGACCCAAAAGATAAGGATAGAGATTGATCAATAGGTTTTCCTGTCAAATGGCCAGAAATCACCCACATAGCTTCCAAGTTTGTCTGTGTGTGGCTTTTTCCAATTATCTAAACAGTTTTTAACTGCAGACCTGTGTTTCTCCTCAAAGACAAGGAGGGGCATGGGGGACAGTGTGACAGGACTATTGTCAGTATGTATCTGGCCAGACCCCTCCTAAGAAGTGAAAGCCCCCATCCCTTTCCTTGCTTCACTAGGAACAGACACGTTGAATCCCTGGGGACATCCAGTCACTACTCTCTTAAGTCCCTCAGGACATGGAAGGGTGGGTTTCTTCCTGTTCTTGCATAGAAACATAAAGAGCAGGAAAGCATGATATCTAAACAAAAAAAGGCCATTTCATTGGAGATTTATAGATGATACTTAGTGTTCTTTCTTTCAGCAGATATGTAGCCTATCTTGTGGGAACAAGCACATACATGGATCTACATGTCCTTCCTAGATGACAGTCACAGTCTGCTAATTTATCTCCTGTCCGAGGAGGGAAAAAATGACCATATGATGGTGTGGATCTCAGGACCCAGGTAGGGAACTTTCCTCCAAGTTCTCAAAGACAGAGATTCATTCCTCCAGATTCACACATTGACGAGTAGTAAAGTTGGAATTTGAATCCTGACTTATTGACTCTGAGTTTAACTCCCTCATACATTCATAAACCATAATTATAAAATTTACTAGGCCAATTTTTAGACAACTGGCACCCTGTGGCACCATTTGAATTCTGGATGTAACCAGAATGAAGGTGAGCTCAACCTCTAGACTCCCCAGTTAAATAAGCCGACACCTTGCCTTCTTTGCTTGAGCTCCTTTAACTTTGGCTTTTCATTACTCCATAAATTTTCCTAATGCTACATGAGCCTTCCAATTCTGCAAACAAGCAGGTGCCTATAAAGTAATAGTAATTAACATGTACTGATAGTGAACTATGTGCCAAGTGCTGTGCTGAATGCTTTGCATATGTATTCATTTGCCCTC
Organism: Homo sapiens; assembly: GCF_000001405.40. NCBI lineage: Eukaryota > Metazoa > Chordata > Mammalia > Primates > Hominidae > Homo > Homo sapiens. Next base: position 132,966,160 of record NC_000003.12, read on the forward strand.
AGAATAATGAGGCAGATGTTGTTATTGTCCTCGTTTTCAAGATGAAGAAACTGAGGCACAGAGGAGTTAGTATATTCCCCAAGATCATGTGTCTAGTAAGGTCAGATCCAAGATTCAAACCCTGGCAGTGAGATGCCACAGTCCCCACTCAAAACTGCATTGCCATACGGACGCCTTTATTTGTGTGTACATGTGTGTCTTAACTGTGGTGTTAAGAGGTAGATGATGAAGAAGCTGAAGCTTCTAGCTTGTCAGTCATTTTCTGCAGAGCAGACTCTGATCTCAGGATGCCCAGCCACGGAGCATGCTGAGAACCCCTTCCAGGGAGAAGTTGTGAGTTGAGACTAAGCCACTGGACCAAGGATCATAGCAAGGGAGCTTGGGGACTTTGGGAAAGTGGTGAATCATAGCATCTGTCATCGAACAGGAAGTCTAAGTGAAATAAGAGAAGGATTTCTGAGGAAGCAGAATCTAGCCCAGGGAAGGCAAAGAGGATTAAATTGACAGGTGTGTCATCCAGGCCTCCTTGCCCCCACTGCATTCTCCATGTATACCTTTAATCTAAGCAGTATTTATGGCTAAGTGTAATTTGTTTTATAGAGTTAGTCTTCTATTTTTGGGCACTTAGGATGTTTCCTTTTTTTTTTTTTTTTTTTTACTATTATTAGCAATGCCACAAAGAACATATTTCAGAAATGTCCCAATTATTTTCTAAGTCTCACTTCCTTGGAGAGGACTTATTGAGTGAGAGGTATACACATCTTAGTTCTTGGCACATACTGCCAGATTGTCTTTCTGAAACCTTTTCAGGTAACTAACTCCACCACTATGCAAATACATGTTTTGTGTATTTTTGCAGTGTTTATCAGCTTTTTTTAATCTTTGAAAACAATACATGAAAGCATACCTCATTTTATTTTTTCTTTTCCACTATGCAAATACATGTTTTGTGTACTTTTGCAGTGCTTATCAGCCTTTTTAATCTTTGAAAATAATATATGAAAACATACCTCATTTTATTATTTTTTTCTTTTTCTTTGGGTTATTAAACCTGGTAGATACTTCATTTTAATTTGTGCTTTTTTTGTGCTAGTGAGATTGTTCCTATATTGGCATTTGGGCCATTGGATATTTAAAATTTTTTCTCTTATTTTCCAGCAATAAATATGTTAGACTATATTTCGATTGCAAGTAACAGAAACCCAACAAACTCAAGATTTATTGGACCTGGAGGTGTACCTGCTTTTGGGCAAGTCTAGAAGCAGGATTTCAAATTGTATAATCACATGATAGATAGATTAGATAGATAGATAGATAGATAGATAGATAGATAGATAGACAGACAGACAGACAATCTTTCTTTCTCTCATCTCTTTTCTTAAGCTTTCCTCACTGTATTAATCCATTTTCCATTATCCACTGCTGATAAAGACATACCCAAGACTCCGCAATTTACAAAAGAAAGAGATTTAATGGACTCACAGTTCCACATTGCTGGGGAGGCCTCACAATCATGGCAGAAGGCGAAAGGCGTGTCTCACATGGTGGCAGACAAGAGAAGACAATGACAGCCAAGTGAAAGGAGTTTCTCCTTATAAAACCATCAGATCCCATGAAACTTATTCCCTACCACAAGAACATTATGGGGAAACTGTCCCCACGATTCAATTATTTCCCACTGGGTCCCTCCCACAACGTGAGGGAATTATGGGAGCTACAATTCAAGATGAGATTTCAGTGCGGACACAGCCAAACCATATCACTCTTGTAGCTGCAAAAGTGACTCTAGGCTTACATTATCCTTGCAGCTAGTAATTCCAGAAAGAAAAGGTGGGAGGCTGATGGTGTTCCTTTTATTTTATAGCATATGCAATAGCTTACAGCAACTGAAAAATATGGACTCATTGGGAACATGCCAATGCCTGGATTAATCAGTGTGTCCAAGGGGTGAGGTGTTCTAATTTTTCATATGCCCCTTCTTGAGGTAGTAAAAGGAATTGTCCCAAAGGAAAATTATGCAAATGAGAAGGAAGGTTACTAGGCTGGCAAAACAAAAGATGACCACTAAATTATTCTTCTCTATTTAAAGATGAAGTGCTCATTTTTGTTATTGATTTGGAAAGCTTGTTACATATTAAGAATATTAAAATTTGAACCATATTTTATAAATTGTGTATGTTTATTCACAATTTGACACTTGTCCTTTTACTTTGTTTCTGGTATATTTTTTTCCTTACAGAAATTTAAAATTTTTATGTAAGCCCCACAGTTCAGTGAGCTTTCTCAGAGCTGCCATTCCTCACCCATCTCTCACGTCTCAGGGTCACTCATCACTTCACCCTACAGGGCAGAACAGTTAAGTACGTTAAAGCTTTGGTTCCTTACCTACCTCAAAGAGATTTTCTGGCATTGATCAATTTCTTCATCTAAAAAGTGAGTAACAACAGTATCATAAGGGTATACAGTTATATAGCAGAATATTATTTTGTTTTTGGAAATGCATGCTATAAGTGTCAGGATGTCTATGGTTTATTTTGAACTTGTTTGAAATGGTTCATCTAAAAAATTAAATAATGAGAGCAAGGTGGATAGGGTAAATGGATTAAAACAGAAACAAGGTTGAATGTAGGTGGTGAGTAAATGAACTAATATTTCTACTTTTCCATTTTTTTTTAAGAGACAAGGGTTCTATCACCCAGGCTGGAGTGCAATGGTATGATCATAGTTCACTGCAGTCTTGACCTCCTAGGCTCAAGCAATCCTCCTGCCTCAGCCTCCTGAGTACACTTTTCCTTATTTTAACATTTTCTTTTCTATTTGAAAAGATTTTTTTTAAGAGAGCAAGATGAAGGAGCACCGGACAGTTGTGGAGCAAGTGCATCATTTACTGTACCTGTCTTCCTCTCTTTCAGCTCCACTGATGGTCTACCCCAGGAGCCATGTGGGGGGTTGTGTTCTAGATACATATGGAGTACGCGCTTCAGAAACTCTGCAGAAATTGCTGCTGAATGTGGATTTTTTTTTTTTTGGAGTAGGGAGAAGGTGTTGGTGCCATGGAGAGTCTGTGAACCTCCTCAAAGCCTTACTTCCAGGTTATCCTTAGAAAGCTGTGCAAGGTGGTGGTCATGCCTCATGATGACCTGAGCTTGGACTTTGACTTCTACAGTTTCAGAATCATGTTTTTCACAAGTCTCAATTTTGTTCAGAACATTTAGGTAAAACAAGAGCCAGCTTTTTATTAAAAAGAAAAACAGTTTGTCCTAAAGCTTACTAACATTAATTCAGAAAAAAGCATGAATTCCTTGGCAGGGTTATCCCTTTTCAAAAGGAGTATGAAAAACTGTAGTCATCTTTGAAGAATACTAGCCCAGAGGAAGAACCATCATAAATCTGGACCCTGGAGGAAAACTGTGAAAAGTTTAAGGATGAAATAACTCCTAAGAATAAGACTTGAATGAAGAAAGCTCTAAACACAAAGAGCAAGCATAGTTAGTGCTGAAATTATAGGAATGATTCATTCACCAGAAGATGAATCAAGAGTTGCTATATCATGAGCAGCTTTTCCAACAGAACATCAAGCCCAGAGCCAATTCCAATGTGGTCCCTCACCAAGTGGATTTTCTTTATTATTATTATTATTATACTTTAAGTTTTAGGGTACATGTGCACAATGTGCAGGTTTGTTACATATGTATACATGTGCCACGTTGGTGTGCTGCACCCATTAACTCATCATTTAGCATTAGGTATATCTCCTAATGCTATCCTTCCCCCCTCCCCCCACCCCACAACAGTCCCCAATGTGTGATGTTCCCCTTCCTGTGTCCATGTGTTCTCATTGTTCAATTCCCACCTGTGAGTGAGAACATGCGGTGTTTGGTTTTTTGTCCTTGCGATAGTTTGCTGAGAATGATGGTTTCCAGCTTCATCCATGTCCCTACAAAGGACATGAACTCATCCTTTTTTATGGCTGCATAGTATTCCATGGTGTATATGTGCCACATTTTCTTAATCCAGTCTATCATTGTTGGACATTTGGGTTGGTTCCAAGTCTTTGCTGTTGTGAATAGTGCCGCAATAAACATACATGTGCATGTGTCTTTATGGCAGCATGATTTATAATCCTTTGGGTATATACCCAGTAATGGGATGGCTGGGTCAAATGGTATTTCTAGTTCTAGATCCCTGAGGAATTGCCACACCGACTTCCACAATGGTTGAACCAGTTTACAGTCCCACCAACAGTGTAAAAGTGTTCCTGTTTCTCCACATCCTCTCCAGCACCTGTTGTTTCCTGACTTTTTAATGATCAGCATTCTAACTGGTGTGAGATGGTATCTCATTGTGGTTTAGATTTGCATTTCTCTGATGGCCAGTGATGATGAGCATTTTTTCATGTGTCTTTTAGCTGCATAAATGTCTTCTTTTGAGAAGTGTCTGTTCATATCCTTCGCTCACTTTTTGATGGGGTTGTTTGTTTGAAAACAGAACTGTCCTCTCCCCTCCCCTCAGGTATCATCTGTGTTACCACGCTACCAGATTATGCTCAGCCATCTCTTTCTCCATTCTGAATTCATTGTTGCTGGTGAGTCCAAGGGGCAATTTCTGCAAAGAGGACCTTATTCTCCTTCTCTTTATACCTCTTCTCCTCTAAATTCAACCCCACCTCTACCCCCACCAGCTTCACACCCTTAGAATAGAAAAGAAATTGATTGCGATTAATCTTCAAACAAGCCAAATAGTGCACTTCTAGAACCATACTGAGCAACTTGAGGCCTCCTTTTGTCTCTTAAAAAAAAGTTTTGGAATTACTTATATTTTATTATTATTTTAAGAAACTGCTGCTACCGAGGAGACAATCCTTTTGCCCCAACTGAAGTTTGATGGGACTATAATTCTCAATGTTTTAAAAATAGTATTACATACAACTTATGAGTAATATTTTCAATTATTTTCTCCTTTAGTTAATATAAAGACTATTTTTAATGTTTAATTATCATCATTATAACCTGGACAATAATAGCAGTAATATATATGTAGTTCAGATATGGGTGTTGTTTTAAACTTCAAAGGGAGTTTTTGTTTACCTAGCGCTGTACTTCCTATAGTTGTAAAGCAAATGTAAAAGCTTATTATCTAAATGAATAGTGATTAGTGATTGGCCTCCAAGAGATATCTGCACTCCCAAGTTCACAATAGCCATATGGAAACAATCTAAATGTCCATTGATGGATGAGTAGGTAAACAAAATGTAAAATAGGTATAGATATACATAAGATATACAATGCAATATTATCCAGCCTTAAAAAAGGAAGTCAGCCATATGTGACAACATAGATGAACCTGGAGGACATTAAGCTAAATGAAACGAGCCAGTCACGAACGACAAAGACCACACGATTTTACTTATATGAGGTATCTAAAATAGCCAAACTCATAGAAATGGGCTGGAGAATGGTGGTTGCTAGGGGATGGGGGAGGGGGGAGTGGGGTGTGGCTGTTCATTAGGTATAAAGCTTCAGTTATACAAGATGAATAAGTGCTAGAGATCTTCTGTGTAACATTGTACCTATAATTAATGATAATATATTGTGATCAAATTTATCAAATTTAATGCATGTTTTTAAACTGTTATACTTAGAAACTTCTACCTCTACATTTTAAAATCTTTTCTGTAAATTGTGTCCTAGAGCATTTATAATTTTGTGTTTTAATCCATACTGAAGTTTTTTTGTGTGTTAGTTCAGCTAACTGCTGTAACAAATAAACCCCCCAACCTCAGTGGTTCAACAAATTAAAAGTGTACTTATTACTCACATCATAAACCAATGCAGATGTTAGCTGGGCAGCCTTCTGCATGAACCTACGAGAACCCAGACTTCTTCCATCTTGAGTCTATGAACTCCTTTAAGTCAATGAAGTCTATGGATCACATCCATAGACAAAGCAAACAGTAATGGAGTCTGGAAATTTCAAGAGAGAAAGAAAACAGGCTTTGGGGAACACAGAGAAGTACCTGTCATAGTTATGCATAATGTTTTGTAAAATGAGAAGTAGGGATCTTCCTCACTTGAAATTTTGGGGCCTTGTAGCATAAGTCATTTCCCATTTCTTCGATTATCGTCAATTATTTCAATTGTATATATTTACCTTTTATTGTAGGTCTTACAGGAACAGACCTGGAGAATGTTGCTAGCAGCCTATGTTACTTCATCATCCTCTCTGGATTGCAAAGTTTTTAGACTGGATCTTAAGTTGTGCCATCATTCCATTTATGGAGGTACTATGGAGGAGGCACTATGGAGGAGGCAATGTGGTTTTCAGGCTATGTAGTAGCTGAGGAAAAAGAAGGATGCCTTTGTTGAGTCATGTCCATGACAGCCAGGATGAGGTTTGCTTATGCCAATGGAACATGATAACATCTCCCTTCTCAATTTACAGAACTCAGAATTCTCAGTAATGCACAATTTCTTTCATAATCTGGCTCCAGCCTATTTTTCTGGTTTTGCAGTTGGAGATAGCATTATGATCATTATGCTTATTTTACCTTTGTGAAAGCCAAGCTCTTGAATAATTTACCCTTGATTATTCAGCAAGTTTTGGAAACAGCCAGCACCAGAATTAAAATCTCCCATATCTTATAAGTCTACTGTGCTTTTCACCACCAACAACCTGGATTCTGCATGGGAAGCTTGTCTCTATATATCTCAACTCACTGTTTCTGAACACTTGAGAAATAGTGCATCAGCAGTAGCAGATACTGAGACTAGGGAGTGGGGCCTGTTACTCTTCTCCTTTCCTCTGAGTGACTCCTGATTCGAGGAAAGAGGTGGATGAACATGTACAAAATTCCTTCCTCTCCACTTCTTTCATTAGATTGTGTCAGTGATGGCAATGACCAGGTGAACATGAAAGTCCGCCTGTAAAATCTGTAACTCTTTATTTTATTTTTTATTTTTGAGACAGGGCCTCGCTCTGAGACAAGTGTCCAGCCTCTCCACACAGGCTCGAGTGCAGTGAGGTGAACAGAGTTCACTGTAGTTTCGATCTCTTGTGCTCAAGGGATCCTCCCACTTTAGCCTCTCAAGTAAGTGGTACTACATGGTGCACCAGGCCTGGCTAATTTTTTATTTTTTGTAGAGATGGGGTCTCACTATGTTTCCCAGGCTGGTTTTGAACTCCTGGGCTCAAGCAATACTCCTACCTCGGCCTCTCAAAGAGCTGGGATTACAGGCCTGAGTCCCTGCAGCCAGCCAAAATCTGTAATTCTGTACATCAAAAGTACAGTGGGAAGTCTCATTATCATATCAGTGAACATGAGATGCTTAGTCCCTCTATTCCTCCATCTTATCACCAACTTTCTATATAGTCTTGGGAAAATGGATACAGAAGTGGAATGTGTTATACTCAGGAACCACGTGAATGACATCCCAGTTGAGAACATGGTGTCTTCTGTGGAGCGGCATCTGTGCATGATTACAAATAGTCCGGAACTTCTAGGAATGAGTAAGGCTGAGCTGAAGGGTTTATGCGATGCCTCCACCCTTATGCCCCTTAGAAATTATAGAAATGTTCCTGTCCAATCATTTGAAAAAGGAGGAACACATGGAAGTCTAAGAAATACATTGTACGTTTGTAGTCCTTCTGGGAATCTCAACTAATTCTGGATAAAAATTAAATATCAACCCAGATGTTATATGGGTAAGTATAAGAAGCCAGGCATGAGAAATGAAGCAGAGAAGTAGTGACATGTCCAAAGCCAGATAAAAATTGAATTCCTGAGTCCTTTTTTGCTCTTGTATTATTTTCATCAAAACCAGAAACCTCACAACTTTATGTCTCCTCTCTAGTAAATAAAATCAGCTTGGGGAAAAAAATGCCCTCAGAATGGAGAGTTTCCACATTGTTTCTGACTCCAGCACATATTCCTTGTGATTTTTTTAAACCTTCTCAGGTGAGAAAGGAAATGGTTTGGGGCCAGTAAGGGTTGCTGACATTCCAGTGTTGTTCTTTCAGGGACTTACATTTAGCAACTAAGGGTCTTAAAACTCCTTCCAGGCAGAAGTCTGTTGGGTTCTGGTCGGTGAAATCTTCGACCTGCCAAAGGACGATGCTAAGGAGAAATGACACAGAGGCACATGCGGGTCAGCAGTCTGGGGCCTCACGAGGCGTGCGTCACCAGCAACTTACACTAATTTTAGGAATTTCAGCCTTCTAACTGTTGTTCCACATATGATAGCCATCTCTTTGTCTGCATATTCCTCTGATATGAATTAGAAGTCTCAAATAAAATTCATTTTCTTTTGCACTTACTGCTTTTCTGATGCTGATGCTGGGGAAAAACAAAAACAATGTTGCTCAGACTCATGTTTAATAATTCCCTTAAAAGAGAGGTCAAGGAAGCTTTTCTGGGAAGTTCCTTGAGAGCCAACTTGAGGGCTGATTTATCTGTCCTGGGTGGTGCCAGGAATGCAAAGGCTGCTCAGTTAAGTTTTGTGGAGTTGTTCCTATTCCAGAATATCTGTAACGGGAATAGCGACCCCCATCTGTCCAAAGTGGCTTGGATATCATTCAACAGATAGACAGTTTAACTCAATGATCACAGACCCCACCCATTTATGTATTTACTTTTTTTCTGTACCAACCAGCACCTCCGATTCTAAGAAATGTCACAGTATAGTGGAGAAATAGTGAACTTTTGAGCCAGAAAATTGGAGTTTGAATCCTGAAATTACCACCCATTATCAGTGGGAGATTAGGAGAATTACTTAATTTTTCTGAACTCCCCTTTTTCATTGTAGAGTTGCTAGAAGAAAGAAGTGACTGAATGTACAGTGTATAGATAGTAGGGGTTTCATAAATTATATTTTCTCCCCACTCTCCATCCCAAAGTATAGAAGTGCTAAATAACAATGTCAGAGGTGGCAGTCCATGTAAGTGGTGGGGTAAACAATATCCAGTTGATTTAATTTACACATGTATCATTTACTCACTCATTCATTGAACGCACATTGAGTGCTGTCTTGGTTTTGTTATGAGAGATGAGAATCAGAGATGAGTAAGACTTGGACTCTGATACTCCACTTCCACTCCTAATCCTGGAGAAAGTGAGGGGCAGATGCCTCTCAGTGATGCAGTGAGCCAAACTCAGAAGCATTAATGATCAGTAGATTCAAAGCCAAAGTAGGACTGAAATGCTGGGGTTATCTGTGCTGGTCAGCATCCTTAGGGCCAGCCCTGGGCTCCAGGCCCCTTGGTCTCCTGGTGATGACACAGGACCACTATTTTGCTGACTGACACACAAACGGTTCCTAAAATGAAATTGGGTCCACACTGACTTGGCTTACTGAGTAGACTGTGGAAATAGCTGACACTTCCTTCTTTTGCACATCTCTTTCCAAAAACTTTTGAGGGTGGATAAGATGACCCCAGACTAACACTGGTGGAGGCCTGCTGGGTCTGCACAAAACATTTGTCTTTTTTGGCAGGCTGGAATTCAGTGGAAGAAGTTGTGTGTGTAGTGCATATGTTTGCCTGTGACATGGCACACATTTACTTTTGCGTGAACTCACAGAAAAAATGTGTATGTCCTTTTACTCTGGATGTTGTCATTGATAGCATTTTAAAACTGTTTTTAGTGTTACAACTTTGGCTTCAGGACAATTAAAATGTATGAAGAAGTAAATAATATAATGAATCATTTATAAATGAAAAGCTTTCAGGATAAGGACAGAAGGAGTTATTGAATGCTAACTTATCTACTGATTTCTTTTCTTCATTATGTCTTGATCCTCAATGCAACTGTACATGGTAGGTATGATGATCTTCATTTTCATTTTACATGTAAATAACACTTGGATTTGCCCAGGGTCATGCAGCTAGTAAATGGCAAACCCAGGTCTAAATGGTTCTGAAGCCTGCAAGCTACACAGTGCTTTCTGCCGTGACACCAGTACTGTACAATACAAATTAAATATGTGTATACTATACATGATGAAATTTAGAATATGAATATATACAAAGTGCCAAAGAAATCCAACCCTGGAAACAAATTATTCTCCTAGGGAGGCCATAAAATGCTTCACAAGTCAATCATTTCATTTTAGGGTTCAGAAAATGAAGCTCAGAGAGTTGTGACTTGCCCAAGGTGGCAGAGTAGCAAAGTTAAGACAGAACCAAATGCTTGAGTAGTGCCTTTCCTACTAAACAAGAACATGCCATCTCATTATGCCCCAAAGTGTTAGGGCTCCGTAGCAACTACAGATAATTTATAGGATAACTGAAATGTAAAAAGGCCACAGCTTAGCTGTTCTGGGAAGAAACTGGATCCCAAGCCATTCATTTACCCAACGACTAGTTGCTCCCAAATGGCAAAACCCAGACCTTGGATCAAGTGCCAGATTAGAAGTGAAATGCGGTCATGAGTGGATGATGCTCAAAAAGAGTTCCTTTGTTTCCAACTCCAAGACCAGGGTGAAGAAGTTTGAGATGCAGGTGGAATGACAGCATGAGGGATGTTGAGAGATGGTAGACAGGTGCTGTATGCTAATCCAAATGCCTTTGAAACCAAGCCAATAGTCCTATAGAAGGTTGCCTTTTTTTTTTCCTTTTTTCCTTTTTTTTTTTTTTTTTTGAGATGGAGTCTCACTCTGTCACCCAGGCTGGAGTGCAGTGGCACAATCTTGGCTCACTGCAACCTCCGCCTCCCAGGCTCAAGCGATTCTTCTGCCTCAGCCTCCCAAGTAGCTGGGGCTACAGGTGCTTGCCACCACACCCAGCTAATTTTTTTGTGTTTTTAGTAGAGACAGGGTTTCACCATATTGCCCAGGCTGGTCTCAAACTCCTGACCTAATGATCTGCCCACCTCTGCCTCCCAAAGTGCTGGGACTACAGGCGTGAGCCACTGTGCCCAGCCAGACAGTTGCTTTTTGATAAACATAAAAATTGACGCTTCTGGTCTTAAAGCTTGAAACTTACATTTGTTTCATCTGAGTTCCTTCCTCAGGAAAGGATCCCCAGACCTCTCAAAAAGTATCAAAGAACTGAAACACACTGGATCATTGCATTGAGACAATGAAATTCCAGGCCCCTCATTCTTAATGATTGCTTCCTCAGGCTCCCAAGTTTCTGTTTTCTTATACATAGTTAATATTTCTTCCCAGAGTTACATCACATAAACCTATAATTTTAGTCAGTTAAGGAGATGGATTTGAGACTGAGCTCCCATCTCCTTGGCTGCAGCACCTAATTAAAGCCTTCTTCCTTGGCAACATTCATCGCCTCAGTGATTGGCTTTCTGTGTGGTGAGCAGCAAAACCTAGACTGAACCCCTGGTGTTTTGACAACACTTTCTGGATAATCTGATATGCCTGAGTGTTGCAGTTATCTGTCAATGCATAACAAAGCTATTATAAACTTTTGTGGCATAAAAACAACTTTAAAAAAGTGATCATGGATTTTGGGGTTCAGGAATTCAGACAAGGCATAGCAGGAGTGATTTGTCTCTGATCTATAATGCCTGAAGCCTCAGTTGGGACAATTCTAAAGGTTAAACATGTCTGTTGCCACATGACGTCTCCACTGGCTAACTTGGGCTTCCTAATATCCTGGAAGTCTCTTCTTACATGGAGGCTCTGGGTTCCAAAAGACTAAGGCAGAAACTGCCAGTCCTTTTACAAGCTAGTCCCAGATCATATTTACCATAAAGTATTTGTCACAACTGTCATGGACCATCCCAGAATTAAGGGGAGGGTAGATAGACCCCAGCCTTCAATGGGAGGGGTGTCAAAGAATTTGGGGCTCTTCTTAATCCACTACATTATGCCATGCGACGGGAGCATGAAGAAGACCATCTCTATCCTATTCACTGTAATAACAAAAACCCGGGTTTGGCAAGTCCAGGAAGAGGAAATAATAGGAACATCAAGACCTCATATGTGGAGAAATTTGGGAAAGCCCAAGACAATTAAGAGGTGGAAAAGGAAGTAAGACAAGTTGTAGCTTTGAGGATATAGCGGAGAGAGGACTGGTTTGAAAATCTGCACAGCTAACTTTCTTGATTTGGGGTAGCCCCTTTAGAGGCAAGAGTGTCCATTTTTGTGAAATGGGGTTGATCCTGCCTATCTCATTAGGTTGTTGTAAAGATTAGAAAAGATGGTATTTAAAGGTGAGCCCCCTGAAGCAAACCGTGAAATCAGAATGTGCATGGAAATTATTTATTAAGATATGTTATCAGGAAAAAACAGTAGAGGAATGAGAAATTGAGACAGGTAGGGATTGAAAGCCAAGCAAGGGTAGGGTATTAAGCCAAGTCTCATAGAGATTAACTTTGTTTCAACCCCATAGGGTTTCTCAGGAAAAGGGTGCAGACAACAACACAGAGAAGGAACAAGAGAGCTCCGTACCTATCCCCCATGAGTGTTTATATTCCCACACCTGTAAGTCATTAAAGTCTGCCCCACATTTGTGTAAATTCCCAGGCACTTTCAGTTCCCCTTTGTAGCCAGAAATGCAGCCTCCAGTAGCCTGAGGGCAGCCCTTCAACAAAAGGGATGCCGTTTTAAAAAGTAAAACCTATATAAGAACTCTGTGTGCAGAAAACACTAAAAGGATTGAGCAAAATACCATAGCAAAGTTATGATGGTACATACAAATTGCTCAACAGTGTGTGGGCTCTGCTACCCCCTCAAGAAATAGTAATAATTCTTGCTTTTTCTGATGTTGTTATTGGTGAGTAATATAAATTACTTTATATTCCTCCAAATTCTGAAGGAAAGGATACACTGACGGATAAAGAAAAATACAGTTTCCTTCAAATATTTCAGAGGCATGTGAACCAGAGCAACTCCATCTTGAATGGGGCTAGGTAAGATGAGGCTGAGACCTGCTCAGCTGCATTCCCAGATGATTAAGGCATTCTAAGTCACAGGATGAGACATGAGGTCAGCACAAAATACAGGTCATAAAAACCTTGCTGATAAAACAGGTTGCAGTAAAGAAGCCAACTCTAGAACCCATCAAAACCAGGATGGCCACAAGAGTGACCTCGGGTCATCCTCACTACTACATTCCCACCAGCACCATAACAGTTTACAAATGCCATGGCAACATCAGGAAGTTACCCTATATGGTCTAAAAAAGGGAGGCGTGAATAATCCACCCCTTGTTTAACATATCATCAAGAAATAACTATAAAAATGGGCAAACAGCAGCCCTCAGGTCTGCTCTATGGAGTAGCCATTCTTTTATTCCTTTACTTTCTTAATAAACTTGTTTTCACTTTACTCTAAGGACTCGCCCAGAATTCTTTCTTGCGCGAGATTCAAGAACCCTCTCTTGGGGTCTGGATTGGGACCCCTTTCCTGTAACAAATCCAGGGCTCTTTTTAGTATTGTTAAAGTTTTAACTATCTTTATATTATCTGCCTCACATCACCGTTTGGATGGAAAGAAAGCTACCTTTCAAAATTCAAAGGCAGGGATAAGAGAACAGCCTCTCCTTTATTCATCTCCTCTACCAGCCCAAAATACTTGTCAGTGGAGTATATGTCAGCCAAGCTGGCTCTACTCAGCCTGAATTGCCTCTGCAGTTTAATTATTACCCTCTAGCTATGGAAGAGGGAGAATTGGCTCCAGCATCTGATCTCTCACTGGAATTACTCAGATCTCTCTGATGGCACTCACTGTCCAGCATTTATTTTGGCCCAGTCATGAATATTTCATTAACATAAAGCCAGTGTGTTCAAACAATCCCAGTCTCTTTTTCTCTTTGAAACACCTTCAGAGCCTTGGCCCAAATTTACCTGGCAGAGAAATTTCCTCGGCATAGCTGCTGCTTGTGGTTCTCAGCCTTACCTAAGATAAATCTCTAAATTCTCCTTGTTCCATGGGTTTCATAAAGCATGGTGCTATGAACTGAACACTGTACCCCCATCAAAAAAAGGGAGGACATATTGAAGTCTGAATCCCCAGTGCCTCAGAATGTGACCTAATTTGGAAATAGGGTCTTTGTAGAAGTAATCTAGTTAAAATAAGGTTATTGGGATGCCCTCTAGTCTTGTATGACTGATGTCCTTATATAAAGGGGAAACCTGGAAGACACATACACAAAGGGGTAAGATATGTGGTGACACACAAAAAGCATGCTAGGCAGAGAACGGAGTCATGCATCTATTAATACAAGCAACTCTGAGGATTGCTGAGAACTGCCAGAAGCTCAGAAGAGGCAAGGAAAGACTTTTTCCCTAGAGTTACTCTGCTGTCACCTTTTGGATGTCTAGCCTTCAGAACAATGAGACAACAAAATTCTCTTGTTTTAAATCGCTCAGTTTGTGGTACTTTGTTGGGGTAGCCCATAAGGACCCTTGCAAGCTGCTTCCCAAGTTCTCTGGACCTCGGCATCCTCATTTGGAAAATATGGAGAACAGATTTAATAGAAATAAATCTTCTCCAAAGATGCCCATAACAATGCTTCCTATCCCACATGATTTTCTTCAATTGATCATATTGTTATTCATTAAGTCCTCCCCTTAAATATGAGTAAGCTTGTGACTCAGTTGTAACCAAGAGAATGAAGTGGAAGTGGCACTGCATAACTTCTGAGGCTAGGACATAACAGCTCCCAGACTATCATCACTTGCTGTGGAGTCCTGAGCCCCCACATAAGAAGCCTGAATCTTCTGAGGCTGCCATGTTGGGAGGAAGCCCAAGTCACATGGAGAGGCCACAGGTAAGTAGTCCAGTCAATAGCCCCTACCTGTGGTCCCAGTAGATAGTCAGCATCAATCACCAGATATGTCTGTGAAGATGACTCCAGATTACTTTAGCTCCCACCCATGAAGTCTCCCCCACCCATAGAATCTTCCTAGCGCAGACTCCAGACATCCTCAAGCAAAGCCATTTCTACCGTTTGCTTCATAAATTCCTGGCCCACATAACTCATGAACTTGACAAAACAGTTGTTGTTGGTATGCCACCAAGTCTGGGAATAATTAGCTATGCAGAAATAATAACTGGACCATCAACTCTCCAAGATCTTACTGAATAGAGAATCAGAACTGGTCTAGAATATTCTGCATAGGGTATGAAGAGATTCTGGGGAGACCAGGTTTGCCTTTGAAGGCCCTGGGAGAGGCCCCATTTTCTCACTCTTCACCTCTCCAATTGCCAGAGTTTATAGCCAATACTAGAATAACTGCAAGCTTTTCTCACACCTTCAGTCAAGTCTCAGAGCACCTCCACAAAGCTGGTGCAACTCTACTTTTCACAAGCATTTTTTAGGATCTCTTAGTCCAAATTCTATTTAATCCACAAATTAGCGGCAACTTTCAGTATAGTTGGGCTTCGTCAGTGTTCCATCCTACTCCCTTATAAACACTACCCTTTCATTCACTTCGGATCAAATTCATTCGACAAAATTATTGCACACAAAGTATGTACATCAATTGTGCCAGGCTTTGGGGAACATGAGGAAGGTATACAGAGATTAATCAGCCCTTGATCTAGCTTTTAAAGGAATTTATATTTGAATCAGAGTTAAGGCATAACCAAAAAACTTTGATTCACAGTAGAAAGTGATGTGTGCCATAAAAGAAAGCAGGCAAAGTGCTGAGAGTGCTGTACAGAGAGAAGTACTCCCTGGCGTGGTGTGCCAGCTACTAAGTTATTGCCTCTTAGCTCCAACCCACCCATCCACACTCCACTTGCTAATGCTGAGACTGGGACTCTGCAAACTTCATTTCTGCTTTTCAACTGCTCCCTTGTAGGCTCTGCCAATAGTGGGCACTAGAGACTGACTGCAAGATTGGAAAAGGAAAAAGGGATTTGCTTCCCTGGTTTGCTTTCTGTTCCTGTGAGCATTGCCCTAGCAAGGCTTCTTTGCCTTGGTAGTGACAATTTGACAATGGTAGTTTATTCCTGTAGCAGCAGCTGAATCCAGTTTGCAGTCTCTCCAACATCACAGAACCAGCCTCATTGATACCTCTCAGAGATACCTGCACCAACTTGTGCCCATTCCTCAGAGCTCTGGAGCCCAGCTGACAGGATTCTCCCCTAAGTCTCTACATTTTAATAATTCCAACCTTTTCCCTTTGTTCCCTCAGCCCTAGGGGTGTTAGCTGCCTCCCACATTTGCTATGTTCTTGAAACCTTAGTATTCCCTTTTTACTCTTTCAGTTACCTAGTTAACAATTCTGTATATTAAATTCTCTGTTCAAAATAACTAGTGTGATGTTGGCAAGAATGTGGAGAAATTGGATCCTTTTGCACTGTTGGTGGGAATGTAAAATGGCAGCCACTGTGGAAAACAGTATGATGATTCCTCAAAAAACTAAAAATAGAGTTATCATATGATCTAGCAATTCCACTTCTGGGTGTATAGCCAAAAGAATTGAAAGAGGGGATCTCAAAGAGATATTGATAGCAGCCATATTGATAGCAGCACTATTCACAATAGCCAAGAGGTAGACGCTACCCAAGCATCCATTAATAGACAAATAGATAAACAAAACGTGGTATGTACCTACGGTGGGATATTAATTGGCCTTAAAAAGGGAGGAAATTCTGACAAATGCTACAACATGGATGAAGCTTCAGGACATTATGCTATGAAATAAGCTAGTCACAAAAAGACAAATACTGCATGTTTCCACTTATAGGAATCTAGAATAGTCAAACTCAGAGACAGAAAGTAGAATGGTGGTTTCTAGAGGCTGAGGCATGGGAAAATGGAAGGTTGTTGTTTAATAGGTATATATTTCAGCTTTGCAAGTGAAAAAGTTCTGCAGATTAGTTGTGCAACAATGTGAATAGACTCAATATTACTGAACCATATGCTTAAAATGATTAAAATGGTAAATTTTATGTGTATTTTACCACAATTAAAAGAAAATCTGGCATGAATTCTATCTTTTGAGTGGACCTTGAATAGTGTGGCAATTAAAGAAATTTTAGTATTAGTCTTGGTAAAGGTGGGTGGGGAGGAAGACAATAATGAAATAAACAACTTAGATCTTAGTGGCTTCACAAAATAAAAAGTTAGCTGTCTGATCCTGCCACAGTCAATGTGGCCAGAAGGACAGTTTGCTCCTAGGGTCATTCAGGGACTCAGCTTTGCATGAGCTCACCACCTTCAACACATGGCCTCTAAGGTTACCACAGAAGGAACACTGCCCAGAGGATTTATGGGCTAGGCTGGATATGCAGACATCATATTTGCCAGATTTTCCACTGGCCAGAACTTAGTCACATGACCCAAATTTAGCTGTACAGGAAGTTGGGAAGTTTTCCTGAGAGCTCAGGTGAAAAATAAAATGAGTTGGGTGAGCATACAGCATTGTTACTACAACTTTAATGAAGGAGAGTGGTATTTAGGCTGAGCCTTGAAAAATGAGTCATGTCCTATCTTCATCTCCGTATTTCTTGCCTTTACTGAAGAGCCTAACATAGTTTCCTGATCTAAGCATCTCTTGGATGATGGATGGATGAATCAAAACATGGTTTTCTATAACCACCAAACTACAAAGTGTCTAGAGAAAGAGAACCAGTATATTCTATGTCTAGCAGAACTATTGTCTGGTGTCTTATTTTAGGTCCTGAGAATATATGATAAAGCTGATTGCCACCACTCAGTACAGTTTTCTTTTCTTTTCTTTTTGAGATGGAGTCTCGCTCTGTCGCCCAGGCTGGAGCACGGTGGTGCAATCTCAGCTCACTGCAAGCTCCACCTCCTGGGTTCACGCCATTCTCCTGCCTCAGCCTCCTGAGTAGCTGGGACTACAGGCAACCACCACCACGCCCAGCTAATTTTTTGTATTTTTAGTAGAGACGGGGTTTCACCGTGTTAGCCAGGATGGTCTCAATCTCTTGACCTCGTGATCCACCCGCCTTGGCCTCCCAAAGTGCTGGGATTACAGGCGCGAGCCACTGCGCCCGGCCGATTTTTTTCTTTCAGCATTAGGAACTAGACACAAAGAAGTTGGTGAGTGGCTTGCTTCCACAGTTCAGTGAGAAAATGAATGGCTTTTATGGCTTAGCCTAAATAGCCTAATATCACTTCTATTACTTGTATTGATCAAAGCCAAGAATGATGACCCCAAAATGTGACAGATTCTGGTAGACAATGTTGAGATCACACATGAAGTCCTTTGCTTCTCATATTGATGTGAATCCTTGGTCCCTCCCAGTTTCTGGCACAAGTGCTAGATATGTGGAGAGCAGGTCATGCCTATCTTGAGACACGCCTAAGCTTGACTGACTCATTGAGCCTGTGGAAGATTGCCCATGTATGAAGGCATTTGTCCTTTTCCTTCTTTCTTTCTTTTTTATTGGCTTGTTTGAGGAGATATTAATAAAAATAAAACCAATAAAAGGAAAATGACTGTAATTAATGCTAATAAAGGGTAGAACCAGATTGCTGAGTGCATCTGTTCAATCTGGCTTTTTGAGTAGTTAGCAAGGGGTTTATTACTGGTAAGTGGGAGATAGTGAACCAGGGCTATTTCCTACTTCTAATGCACTTACACATGGATAATAATGGCATAATTTCTGTGCCTAGACTTTGGACAGCTGCCCAGTAGGTTTTCTATGATGATGTAATCAGGTTTACCCCTACTTGGAGTCTGTGTTTTAGTTATCTATTGCCGTGTAACAAACATGCTAAACTTAATGACTTAAACCAGAAACATTTTGTTATGCTAATAGATTCTCTGGGTGCTAAATTCAGAAGGGCATGATGGAATTGCTTGTCTTTTCTCCCTGATGTCTGAGGACTTAGCTAAGATGACTTAAATGGCTCAGGGCTAGAATAATCTGGAAGCTTCTTTACTCTCATGCTTGCTGCTTGGGCTGGAATCACACAAAAGCTGGACTCAACTGAGACTATCAAGTGGAGTACCTATACCTTGACCTGTCATTTTGCTTGGATTTTCTACAGCATGAAATCCAGGTTATGAGAAAGAGGCAGGCCTTCCAAAGACTGAGAAGAAAATGAGTGGCCTTTATGGCTTAGCCTCAGAGGTCACCTAATATGACTGCTATTACTCTACTGGTGTAAACAGTCATAAGCTCACTTGGATCACATTGAGCACAAGGAGAGGAGACGTAGACCCTCAAGATGAGTGGTGTAGCAAAGGATTTCCAGCTGATTTTTTTTTTAAACCACCACACTTAGATTTGCTCATGTTTATGGTAACCAAATTCTCTTGATCCTAACTTCAAAATGTATCCCAAATCCAACCACTTCTCACTACCTCCATTGTCATCACACTGGTCCCAAGATTTTTCCCTCTAATTATCGCAATAACTGTTAACAAGAATCCTTGCTTTCACCTCACCTCCCCCAAAACTATTTTCAACAAAGCTGCAAAAGTGATACTATTTAGTCATTGGTCATATCATGCCATTCTTTGGCTCAAACCCTCAATCACTCCCCATTGTTCTCAGAGGAGAAGAAGAAGTTCTTCTGGTGGTAAACAAGTCTCTGTACAATCCGGCTCCCTGTCACCTCTCTTCCCTCCTTTCCTACTGCTCTCCCCATTGCCCCCTCTCTAATAGCCAAACTGGCCTCTTTGCTGTTCGTAGAACACATTGAGCATCGCCCCACCTCAGGGCCTTTGCATTTGCTGTTCCCTCTGCCTAGAATGCTTTTCTCCCAGATATCTGCGTGGTTTAGTTTACTCCTTCACTTCCTTCAGGAATTGAATTATATGCCACCTCAGTGCGACCTTTGCTCACCTATTTCAAAAGAATGCCTCACCTCACCATAACCCCTAGCATTCACTCCTCTGCTTTGTTTTTTCCATAACACCAATCATCACCTAACACACAATGTGTTTTCTTATTTGTCTTATTTCTTGACTGTCTACCCTATTGGAATGTAAGCTGCATGAGGACAAGGATGTTTGTCCCTTTTACCCACTGTTGTTGTTTTTTCAACATCTCTACTTGACACATAATAGATACTCGACAGATATTTGGTAAGTGAATGAAGTTTAAATTAATGAGAGAGTAAGTGCATGAAAGAGAAAGGTAAACTCTGACAAACTGCTCAAAAACTGTTCTGATATGGTAAAATATTTCAAAGAGACTCATAAAGGGAAAGGGTTCTACTCCATTGAGAAAGTATGAGTGGTCTGCTTTCCTTTCATAGGATAATGGCCCAGCTTAACATAAGTTACTGTAGTTGTTTTTTCTCCTCCTCCTTAGAAATACATGTTGGAAGAGTGTTATGGAGGCATTGTTGTATAGCAGAGAGAGAGACATAGACCTGAACTTCCATTTACCAGTTGTACGATCAAAGGTAACCCAATTCGTCTCCCTGGGTCACAGATTTCTCTTTTATAAATTGAGAGAAATTGTATTTGAACTAGACAATCTATCTCTAAGGTCCATTCCAGCCCTGAAATTTAATTATTTATGTCTGTTCACCAGCTCATTTGCCATTGAATTCCAGTGCTAATCTAAGGATGGCATTCCATGAGCTGGGAATAAAGAAAAGAAATCAGGAAGAGAGAGAAGTAACCCTGAGCAAAATAAAACATGTAGAGCACAAAAGTGTTTCAGAAAGGGAATAGTATTGGGGATAACATTCTAACCTTTGATGGAATCATAATATTGATTACCCTTTGGGGAGCATTGATATAATTGGGAGGTGGCATGAAGGATGTTTCCAGGGTACTGGAAATGCTACTTTTAAAAAATCTCAGTTGTGGTTATATGGGTGTGTTCTTCTGTGAACTTCCATATGTTCTTTAGATACACTTTTCTATGTGTTTGTTATACTTAAATTTGAAAGTTTACTGAGAAATTTCAACTGAGAGCAGAACACACAGACACACAGACACACACACACGCACACACACACACACACACGGAAAAAGCCTTTTCTGTTGATATTTATTAAGGAGAAGAATTTTGACATTATACCTGACTAATGATCTGAATAAAAATGAGAGATTTTAAAAGATGATTTAAGTGGGAAGAATTGGCACGGGGAGTTCTCAGTTCAGTTCTCACTGGACAAAATTATGATGACAAGCCTCACAGTGGTTAAAATGTGATGCAGAGGAGCTCTTGCTCCTAAATATGGACTCTTCTTCTCTTCTTGACTTTCCTAAGATTCCTCAACTCTTGTCTATGCAGGGGGCTGTACCTGGGATGCTCCTAGAATTCCCACTAAACCACTGGACTCATCCTTGTTCTAATCACTCACAACATTATTTCCAATCCAACCCTGGAGGTGCTTTCACTGTCTATTTCTGTGACTCTTTTGATCTGTCAAAAGCCTTTACGACGCTAAAAGGCCATTTGAAAAGCAAGGGAGAGAGATGTACAAATGATCATCCAGGAGTGAGGCTGCAGGCCTTTCAGAAGAAGTCCCACAAGTTGAAAATTACAGCTAGTCTTTTGAATCAATTGTCCGGGTAGGATTTGGTGACTAAGAGTGAGGTGTTTGAAGAAGGTGGTTTTGTTTCCCACTGTGGCACTCTGAAAAAATTGTTTTAAGCTCAGGTCTGACATTCTGCACCTCACTTATTATCCCTAGCAGAACAAAATTCTTTTTGCCAAGTTTCAAGGTAAAGAAGCTAATTGCAGTAGTTCCCCCCGCCTTTCTTTAATTATTGAAACCTGGGGGAAGCACTGTAGTTGGTCTGCTTTATGAAAAGAAAAAGTATTCTTCCATACGCAAATTCATTAATGTTGTTTCATAAGATGGCTCACCCTAATTTTCACGGCTTATCTTTGGTGCTCCTCTCTTTAAGATTTATGTTGATTAGATGTTGTAACAGTTATCTACTGCTGCATAACAAAACGCCCAGAAAGTAATAAACAAAAACAATAACAATCATTCATTTTGTTCACAAATCTGAAATTTGGGCAGAGCTTGGCAGGGATGGCTCACCTCTGCCTTATGTAACATCAGCTGGGGCATCTTGATGGGGGACTAAATGGCACCCTTTCAAGATGACCCACTCATATGACAGGCAAGTTCATGCTGTCTGTCAGGCGGGATTTCAACCAGGACTGTGGGTCAGGGAACTCAGTTCCTCTCCACATGTATCCTCCAGGAGCTTCTTGAGCTTTGCTCTTCAGATTTCAAGAGAGAATGTCTCAAAAGAATAAGATAGAAGATCATGACATTTTTATGGTCTAGCTTTGGAAGTCAGAATGTCACTTCTGCCATAATCTATTGGTTGAAGTAGTCAAAGGCCTACCCAGATTAAAAGAGGAGACACAGACCCCATTTCTTCAAAAAGTAATGTCAAGTTCTAAATGAGCCTATAGGATGGAGGTTATTGTTGCAGCCATTTTGGAAAATACAGCCTGCCACAGATGTCAAAACAGTGGCTAACATTCACCAGAACAAATGTGTGTGTGTATGTGTGTGTGTGAGAAGAATAGCCTGGAGAAGAGCTGTTGGTTACCTCTCCTCATATATTCATGAAAGAATGTCCATACCCATCATCAGAAGAAGGAAATATCCAAGGATTTCCTTCTGATCTCTCACTCTATACTCCCTTGTCCTTTTCTCCCAAGGAATGAAGTAGGGCTAATTGCTGGTGCTACTGCATTGAAACTCAGACGGGGCTGAGTTTTTCTCCCTTGCAAGAAAGCCTGAGGAAAAATCTATACAATGGGTAGTTAGAAATTGTCCTTTTTGTGTTCCTGTGGAGACAAGACTGAGTGAAGTCTGAGTCATCAGGTTCACCATCTTTCAAATTCTCCACTGGGTGGGTAAGTTAGGGTTCTGTGTATCCCTATATCAGAAGGAGGGAGGGACAGATGAGAGGACCTGCCATGTTCTTTAATCCAAACTTACGAGTAATAAGGCAGCTATTATTCCATGCCTCAGTTGGTTCCTTGCTGTTATTTATCAACTAATTAAGAACCCAGATCACAGGGAGGGTATAATTAGCATCCCTAAACTCTCAATATATGTATAACTAAAGTTCAATCCATGGCTCAAAATTATTTTCTTATATAAAGGCAATGGAGTTTGAAATAGGCTAAGGCAAATTCTGTACTGCTTGAGCTTGGTGTTGAAAAAGCAGGACGGCATATTAGACAGAGTAGCTCAGGGCTGGGCGTGGTGGCTCACACCTGTAATCCCAGCACTTTGGGAGGCTGAGATGGGAGGATCACAAGGTCAGGAGATTGAGACCATCCTGGCTAACACGGTGACACCCCATCTTCACTAAAAATACAAAAAAAAATTAGCTGGGCGTGGTGGCAGGTGCCTGTAGTCCCAGCTACTCAGGAGGCTGAGGCAGGCGAATGGCATGAACCTGGGAGGTGGAGCTTGCAGTGAGCTGAGATCGTGCCACTGCACTCCAGCCTGGGCGACAGAGCAAGAC
Source organism: Homo sapiens (assembly GCF_000001405.40). Classification (NCBI taxonomy): domain Eukaryota; kingdom Metazoa; phylum Chordata; class Mammalia; order Primates; family Hominidae; genus Homo; species Homo sapiens. The sequence continues at coordinate 132,989,510 of NC_000003.12, forward strand.
TCCATCTCAAAAATAAAATAAAAAAAATAAAATAAAATAAAATAAAAAAAGAAAGAGTAACTCAGGGTTTATCTGGAGATCTTGAGGAAATTAGTCAGTTTGAGCCTCTCTCCTAGCCCCATCCCGTCTATTGACAAGGAGACCTCAGGGACCTCCAAGGCACTGAATAATAATTGCCTTATTACTCATAAGGTTGAATTAAAGAACATGGCAAATCCTCATCTCTCCCTCCTCCTTTCTGATCTAGGGATCCACAGAACCCAAAGTTACTCATCCAGATATTGGTGGAGAATTTGGAAGATGGTGCTGCCACTGCTTCCCAGGTATCTCAACAAGCTTCCTGAGCTGGATGTCCAGGGTACTAGCTCCATCTGTCCTTAGGCAATATGTTGTCCTGATCCACAGTCCAGGATTGAAGCACCCAGGGAATTCAGCCTGACACTCTGTTTCCCTTTTATCTGGGATATTGGGCATCAAAGATTTTTCCTAATTTTCCCACTGAGGTTGTTGCCCTTGGAGGAAGCCTGCTCTATACCTAATTGGCATTCATTCAGGCAGTCACTCATCATTCTGTATTGAGTGCCCACTTTTCCAGGCACTGTGCTGTATACTGGCTAAAGGGTTGGGAGTAAAACTGATCTAGTCCTTGGTATCATACAACTTAAAAATCAAATGGGAGAAGCAGACTATAAACCATAAACAGACCCCCAAGCCTAAATAATATGTAATTGCAAATTGTGGTAAGTACTTTAAAAGAACTAAACAGGGTAGAGAGGTAAGATAGAGATGAGGTATCAACTAAGATAGGCCTAGCATTTTGTCTTATTCTAGCTTACATTTTTGGAGAACTTTATTCCTACTTTCCTCATGCCCAATACTGAATAATAATAATAATAACAATAGTACTACTAATGATAACAATTCTTAACACTTATATAGCACTGACCATGCTATATAAGGCACTTTTGTAAGTGGTTTTCATGTGTTACCTCATTTAACATGGTATTGGTTAATGGCCTGGATTGCACTAGAACTTAAGATCTGCTGTTAGCTGTTACCTAACTGTCTTGCCCTTCTTTCCCCAACTTCACACACACAAATCCACCAAGCCCCATCAGCTTCTCCTTGCAACCTGACCCCTATTTAGATGAGGAGTTGAGCAGCATTTTGGTTTGGTCTACAGTTATGATTGCTGACCTCGTCTTAGGACTCTGCTTCGGCCTCTGTGTGTCCTGCACAATTCCCTCACTCCCTGCTGTCTCCTTGCTTGGAGTTCCCAGCATAGTGCATGGATGCAGCATTGATCAATCCTATCAGGAAACCAATCTTATCAATATCCAGCTGGAAGGAAAAATACCCATTACAAAGATATGGAAAATAAAATTCAGTCTGGAGATTTCAAAATCACACAGAAGAGATAAGCTTGGCCATGCTAGTTTTTCTAACATAGTTTTAGCAGCTGAATCTTTTTGTAAATAAAATATTATTTGGAGATCTTAGTATATAAGACAGTTAAAGACTCATGAAGGATCTAAGACTACCTTTCTCACCTTTAGGGGACCCAAGTCAGCTCTATGGAACTGTATAATTATATAGAATTCAATTTTAAACACTGCATTGAGCAATAAGAAGCAACTGTGGGCAATTAAATAGAGAATTGACATTTTTTAAAGCATAGTTTTAGGAAACAAGTTTTGCAGTAATATACAGGAATAGTTAAGAGAGGAAAAATGGAGTTGAGATTCTAGCAGATTGTTGCTGATCTTTTAATTTGAGATGATAATAATGCTTTTAATTTGTATAGTATGTTCAAAATATAAACTTATGTACATTATTTCATTCATCCTCACATCACTGCCATGTGATATGTGAGGGGACTGACATGACCTTCATTATATATTTGAGGATTACTTATTCATAAGAACCATGTAACAATAGGTAAACTAAGAAATATAGTTCAGATTGTAAGATAAGATCCTTCTCTTCTTTGCAAGGTATTAGCTTTCAGGCATGGACCTGAGGAAATGGACACAGGACAGATGTCTTTCAATAAAGAAAATGGAATTGATTCAGAGCAGTGTTTTCTGAGAGGTGTTCTTGGGATGTTTATAGGTATATTCATGGGTGTTATGTGAAGGGACTGGAACCATTCTCAGATGTGGCTGGGAAACACCAGGTTTAACTTTATTGTTATTGTTGTGGTTTTTTAAACTTTATTTTAGGCTCGGATGTACATGCGTGGTTTGTTGTATAAGTAAACTCATGTCATGTGGGTTTGTTGTACAGATTATTTCATCACCCAGTTATTAAGCCTAGTCCTCATTAGTTTTTTTTTTCTGATCCTCTCCCTCCTCCACCTTCTATGTCCCCCCGTTTATGTCCTTGTTTTCTCATCATTTAGCTCTCGCTTATAAGGGAGAACATGTGGTATTTGGTTTTCTGTTCCTGCTTTAGTTTGCTAAGCATAATGGCCTCCAACTCCGTCCATGTTCCTGCAAAGGACATGATCTCATTCTTCTGTATGGCTGCATAGCATTCCATGGTGTATATGTACCACATTTTCTTTATCCAGTCTACCATTGATGGGCATCTAGGTTGATTCCATGTCTTTACTATTGTGAATAGTGCTGTAATGAACATAGGCATGCATGTATCTTTATGGTATCATAGAAAGATTTCTATTCCTTTGGGTATATACTCAGTAATGGGATTGCTAGGTCGAGTGGTAGTTCTGTTTTGAGTTCTTTGAGGAATCACCACACTGCTTTCCACATATTATTTTTTAACCTAGTGCTATGTATAAGTTTAACAAAGCTAATGAGCATTAACCGTTTCTAACTGAGCATATAACATAAAGAATCTCCCATACTTTTTTGACGTAGGACTCTGTCTTCAGGGGCAGCTCTCAGAATTTGGTGAAGCTCAATAAGATGAATTTTGCTTGGTCATTGTTGCACCTACTCACCTCTGCCACTGTAACATGAAATAGAGAATAGGTTAAAAAAGCAAGCATGACTGTGTTCCAATAAAACCTTAGGAACATTGAAATTTAAATTTCATATAATTTTCATGTGTCTGAAAATATTCCTGTTTTGATTGTTTTCCAACCTTTTTAAAGTGTAAAATTTATTCTTAGTTCTTGGCTGTACAAAAACAGCCAGCAGGTTGGATTATAGATTTTAGGGCACTCTGTAGGAAGGGACTGGCCTCAGGGTGGGAGGAATGCACAGATAGACACGAGGTCAAAGACATCTGTGGTTTGGGAAAGAGCAGGGATAGCGGTGAAGGCTGACTTTACTGCGCTCAGAATTCAGCCCAGGGCTGGGCACTGCGGTAAAGTGTAATTTTGTGAGAACTTTAGTTTATCTCAGCTTGTTATATGTAGCTGGGCCACTTACCTGTGGCAGCAAGGTTTGGGGTAAACTCACAACATTACTGTCAGGCAAACAATGCCCCAAACAGCAGTTGCAAGACGGCTCATTGACTCTTGTCTGAAGAAACTTTGTCAACCCTCACTTGCTGTCTTTCTCCTTGATAAATGCTAATCTCTCCTATCAAATTCCCTTCTAGACACCAGGCAGGTATTTTGACTTTCTCTTAAGGATCTTTGGGTTATTGCACTGTAAATACCATTCATTTATCTCAAGGCAATGTTTGAAACAAAATAAGTTCTCTGTTAGCCATAATTTCCATCCCTTCTAACAGAATGGGTACAAAAACTAGGAAATACTTGAATTAACAAGTATTTCCACACTCTCATCATTTTCCCACCTATGCTTCATTTGCCAAAGTACAGGCTTGATAGGGTTGAGGATGAGAAACGCAGAGAAACATTTCACCCCTGAACTTACTTCCATCTCTACCCAAAGACAAATAGTTTAAATGGTATTTTCCCCAAAAGTTCAGTAGTCATTTGAGCTTTTTAAACGTCTTTTCTTCTGATTTCAAAAGCAACACATATTCGTGGGAAAGATTTTGAAAGAGATAGCGAAGGGAAGAAAAAAATCTCCTTAACCCACCATGAGGAAATAATAGCAACTTATATGTTGCTTGTCTTTAAGGTATTTTAATGTACAGCTAATAAAAATTAGCTCAATTTGTGCATACTGCTTCAAAACAGAAATTTTTTTCACTAAATGTAGTGATTTTCCAGTGATAGGTTAAATGCAATTTGGCCTTAATTGATAATCCCCAAAGTTCGTTCCACAGAACACTATTTCTGTGGGTAGCTAACAGGCATTTGGAAAAAATGAGAGGAGAGTTATGGTCAAATACATGTGGGAAATGTGAAATGCTGGGTTAGATACAGTTAAACAGGCTTCTTTGTCTCAAGGGTTCTAAGGGGTTACCTTTAATATGTATCTTTAGACATTTAATATCTTTAATATGTATGAAGATAATATATATGAAGATACTATACATATCTTCATATGATAGTATCACTATTGTATCATACATACATGATATAAAGATATATATAGTATCTTCAATATGCTGATGGGTATTATAAATCCTCAGAATAAAGACTAGAGTGCTTAGTGTTTCCCAACTCGTTGAACCACAAAATTCTTCTCTCCTCTAAGAATCTCATAAAACTTTTGATCCACCACACACCCTGGGAGACACAAGCCAAAATCATTAGGACCTGAAATTGAAACTTTGCATTTCTTATGGACCTTTAAGATACAAATTTCCCATTTCTGAAGAACTTTTTAAAGTTTTGCTGCAAATGTATTGCTTGGAAGAAATATAACTGAACTTCCTTGTAGTTACATTTAATATTGTTTTACTTTAATCAGAATAATTCAACTAATGACATTTAACTCTAAGGAAAACAGTGGTATTATATTATTGGTTGAAAATAGATGGTCCACTGGGGAAAAATATCCAATGTGAACATTCTTTGATAGTAGAGTAAGATTTTAATATTTTTCAATAAAACTTAACACTGTTTAGCTCCTTCAGCAAAAGGCTTATTCTGTACACAAGAATGTCCTTGAGAGTCTACAGTGAGAATACTCTTTCCGTATGATGAACTCCAATCTCAGACTTGCTGCTTAATCATTGGTGGTGCATAGTGGGCCATGGTGCAACATAATTTAATTTTCATTTTGTCTGGAACTGCCTCAAAGTCTTAGCTTCACAGGTATATACTTGGAGTTAGTTTTATATAATATCATGGCACCTTTGGGCAAATAGTGGACAGAACAAACTTCAGTAGGCTGGCCATTCATAGCCCCATTCTGAGACACTTCTTCCAAGTCAAAGGTGGTTAAAGCCAATTAGTTCTGGGAGGATAATCTGACCCTGAGAGAGTCTATCTATAGGGAATAGTGATCACCTGAAACAATAAAATCTAGAGAGCTAGACTATGATTCAGAGAGTCAGTGAGCTGATGATAAGAGTGGACCCAGAGAGCAAAATAGAGGTAGAGAGAATGGCAGTCACACAAGTAGGTATAGTCCTAAGGTAAAATACAGGAACCCATGTTTGGGGCCTTTCTGACCTTCAGGGCCCCAGGCCATGAGTCCCATTGCCATGTTGCCAGGAGGCCTGGCTGTGCACTTTTCCTGAGTGAGGCTGGTCAGTGGTTGAGATTCTTGTTTTGCTTTTTTCCCCAGGTATTTTCATGATGAGCTCACCTTAAGCAATACTGAATAAGACTTTCTTCAAAATGAGAAGAGTACAGCTCACACAGGTAGAAAACACAGCTGGAAAAATGGTGACTGACTTTCCTTCTTACTGCTGCCTTAATAAAACACCTGTTTCATATATCCAGGAGGGAAAGGGGATGCTTCCTGATTTCTGTGTCTCATCAGCTGGACGTACCTCGGGAATTACTCTAGAGCTTCAGATTTTTAGCCTAAAGGTTGTTATAGGTGGATGGGCTTCAGCGTATCTGTGAATCCTCTAATAATGTAGGCAATTTTTTTGCCTATGTACATTTTTCAGGGTGAGCTATCATTTAAAACTTTCTCCAGACCCTCAAAGATGCCTGACTCAAAAACAGTTATAGATAGAAAGGAAAATTTAGGCCTGTTTGTTTTTGATCCATGTGCTTTTTCTATAGATCAAATATCTTGACTTTCTATACTAAAGTGTTAGGTTTTTTTTTTTTTTTTGGTAATTTCTCTGAATCCATTTTGCGTAACTAAGTTTTATTTCCTTTGGATCCCCCACAGCTTGACACTACTACTTTTATCTTAAAAGACAGGGAGTAGAAGTGTCTCTGTTTCTATTTGATGCATAAATAAATAGCACAGAAAAAAATGTTCAGAGAGTCAAAATCTTATTTAAAGTTGTAAAGTGACATATTTTTCTGGCCTCATAATGTCTCATGCCAAGGCTTTCAAGTTGAAAGTACATCCATTTACAAAACCATCCACATCTCTCTGCTTGTCCTATCTATCTCCTCCCCTCTTTCTCTCTTGCTCTCTCTCAGACTCACCAAATATAATTCGCAATTCCAGGGTGTTTATAAAGAAAAGGGGACAGCTAATGTAGTCACTTTAATAATGTATTAAAAAATGAGAATCCTTGAAAATGCCAAAAGAAAAAAAACCAGCAGAAGGTAAAAAGCAAAACTATCTCTTGATAGTGTTGAAATCTACGCATAAGGAGAGGGGAGACAGCTAGTGAAGTCATGTTTAAAAATGAATACAAGAATGAATTTCTGTGAAGATGCCAAAACCACACAAGCTGAAAAATAAAACTTTCTCTCAAGAATGTGTTAAAATCTACCCATAACAGTAGACATTTTTAACTGAAATAAAATTTTGTTTGGCCTTGAATAATGAATCCATATGCTGAGGCAGCAAAGCAGGTTAAGAAGGTTATGACCCTAATTTACTAATGAGGAAATCGAAACATGAATCAGGGCTGCCTGGGGAAACTCAGTAAGATGGCAGCCCTGGATGGTCTAGGAGTGTTCCTCTCTCAGGCCTATGGCTAGATCAATGACCCCTGCTGTCTTCATGCTGGTGTCCATCAGAGGGAGTTCCGATAGTAATGGAGGAAGTGATTTGAAATGAATCTATCTAAAAGGAAAAGAGCACATAGGAGCGTTCATAGTCTCACAGGTTGGTCCTTGTTATAATCTAGATATGTAAATCTTTAGAAAGCTTTCAAGTGATGGCTTCAAAGATTATATTTCTCTTCATTTTTTACAAGATTTTCATGTTCTAATTCTTGCCTATTAACCTTTGTTTGAAAAAAGCATCACTTGGTTTAGATAACAGGAGTAAATAGATAATTTCAAGGAGGATTTAAAAAGTAGGCAATGGTACAACTTTAAAACACACTCCCATAGATAAACAATGATGAATTTATTCTTAAATTCCCTTGACAATATGTGAGTCAAAAATAATTCTGTCAAGAAACCCAAAATACCTTATTCCCATTTTTCCTCCTTTTAAAAAATTTTGAAATGTTAACAAATATACTGAAATGTGCATAAAACATCAATTTACAACTTAACAAATTGTAGGAAAATGGATTCATGTTCTCCATTCAGGTCAAGCAAGACAAGCCTCTTTTGTGCCCCTCGTTATCATAAGCTCTTCTTTCTTTGAGGAAACGTACCATTCTTACTGTTATGCCATTCACATCTTTGCTAGTCTTTATTGTTTCACTACCTAAGTATGCATTACTAAACAATGTAGTTCAATTCATGTTATTTGAAATCATGCAATATACTCTGGCATGTCTGAATTTAACATTTTTACTCAATATTATGTCTTTAAGATTCAACTGCAGTTTGTGAGTTTTCATTATCGTGTGGTATTCCATTGTGAAACTATATCACAGTTTGTTTATCCAGTGTTCAGTTCATGGACATTGGGTTGTTTCCAGTTAGAGGCTATTACAAAGAATGCTTCAATGAACATTCCTATACAAGTCTTTTGGTGCACTTAAGTATGTGTTTCTGTAAAGTATGTACCTAAGAATGGAAAAACTGGTTCATTAATGTATGTGTATCTTCAGCTTTATTAAACACTGCCAAACTTCTTCCAAAGTAGCTATACCATGCTTAGGCCTTTCTATTTTTAATTATTATAATGGTGTACCCAAATCATGTGGTTAAGGACTGCACCTGGTTTTCCTGGCAAGAATAGGTTGGCAAATTGGTTTGGAAACTACTCTGTCTGCCAACTCTTGTTTCCCTTGATTAACTTACCCCTAGAGATACACTACTTCAGACATATCTCTTCCCTTTGCCCTGATAATAGTCATCTTTGTTTTTATATCAACCTGTGACCTGTTTCAATATAGCTATATGCAAGTTGCAATTACGGAACTTAGAAAGGCAATATCGGGAAAATAATTTGCATTGGACATAATTTCCCTTGGGTTTAAAGCATCTATATTAAGCTTCTATGATGTGTAGTACAATCTGGTTTATTTTATTTTTTATTTTTAAGGCTATTTAAGTGATGCCAATGTAACAGAATGACTTAACACAGTTAAATGCCAAACTGGGATTTAAAATACCAATGTTTTCTTCTTTAAAGTTGGATCCCTTCAGGATATTATGAAGATGCAAGCATCTTCATGGCAGTCTGTCACCTTGTGGCTCCAGAACTTGAAAGCTCATCATGTTCATGGATCAGCACCATTTATACTTATTAATATTTTTAGTGTCTGCCTTATAAATCAGGCACAAAATGCAGGGCTTTTAAAAATAGCCTTCTAAATCTTTTCAGGCTTGATACACTCTGCTAAAATGAGTTGTTGATATCAGCATCTCCTTTCCTCTTGCTGGCTTGTCTCTGAATAATGGCTACACCTGTGTTTGATTCAGGACCATCAAAGGTCTCCAAAGATTTAACTGTTACTGGCCTGTGCTTCTGCAATACCCTCACAATAACCATCATTTCATTATTCTATCCAAGTATAGGCTCCAATAATTCACAACTAGGAGCCAGGGTCCTGCGGCTAAATTTTGGTCCAGCTTACCTAAGTACTAGGCAGTAAGGAGATCTCACATTAAAAGAAGTAAATATTTACTTGCTCAAAGTAAAGTTTAAGACAGTCTGGTTGATGTCTATTGTGACAATTGCATAGTATTAAAAGTTTGGGGGAATACACAGACACCAATGTATTTTGTGAGTTGGTCATTGCTATGGTTTAGATGTTTGTCCCCTCAAAAACTCATGTTAAAATTTAATTGCCATTGTAATAGAGCTAAGAAGCGGGAGCTTTAAGAGGTGATTAGGCCACGAGGGCTCCATTCTCATGGGTGGGATTAATGCTATTATAAAAGGATGAGTCTGCCCCCTCTTTGCCTCTTTGTCCTTCCACCTTCCACCACGTGAGGAGAAAACCTTTCTTTCTTCTGGAAGACACAGCATTCAAGGCACTATCTTGGAGTCAGAATCACCAAACCTGCCAGCACCTTGATATTGGACTTCCCAGTCTCCAGAACTGTAAGCCAAGAAATTTCTGTTCATTATAAATTGCCCAGTCTGTGGTATCCTTTTATAGCAGCACAAAATGGACTAAGGCAGTCAGTCATTTTGTATTTATATAATATAAATGATACAGTCCCCAACCTTAGGGAGATTGAAATTCAATTCAGGAGATTATATACATACATATGGAATTATACACATACATATAAATTATATACATACATATGGATATAACTAAAGAGTAAGTGATAGGGTATACAGCACAGTATAACAAGTATAACAAGACTTTAGGAGTTTAGAGAATAACCAAGTCCACAAAGTCAGGGACTAAAGTAAGAACTGGCAGAGGGTTTGAAGGAAGTTGGACAGGAAGAAAAAGAGCAGGGTCAGGAAAAACACTCATGAAACACAATGACGGCATATAAGAATGGCAGAGAGACTGGTCTGACATGGCTGGGTCATGTTTGGGAGCTAGGTGAAATGATGCTGGCTACCTAGGTATGGAGATTCACCCATGGAGAGTTTTTTGTTTTTTGGTTTTTTTTTTTTTTGCTTGTGCAGAATCATCCCAATCTTTTTTTTATATATTTTATTTTTTAATTTTTTTTTATTATACTTTAAGTTTTAGGGAACGTGTGCACAATGTGCAGGTTAGTTACATATGTATACATGTGCCATGCTGGTGCGTTGCACCCACTAACTCATCATCTAGCATTAGTATATCTCCCAATGCTATCCCTCCCCCGCCACCCCACCCCACAACAGTCCCCAGAGTGTGATGTTCCCCTTCCTGTGTCCATGTGTTCTCATTGTTCAATTCCCACCTATGAGTGAGAATATATGGTGTTTGGTTTTTTGTTCTTGCGATAGTTTACTGAGAATGATGATTTCCAATTTCATCCATGTCCCTACAAAGGACATGAACTCATCATTTTTTATGGCTGCATAGTATTCCATGGTGTATATGTGCCACATTTTCTTAATCCAGTCTATCATTGTTGGACATTTGGGTTGGTTCCAAGTCTTTGCTATTGTGAATAATGCCGCAATAAACATACGTGTGCATGTGTCTTTATAGCAGCATGATTTATAGTCCTTTGGGTATATACCCACTAATGGGATGGCTGGGTCAAATGGTATCTCTAGTTGTAGATCCCTGAGGAATCGCCACACTGACTTCCACAATGGTTGAACTAGTTTACAGTCCCACCAACAGTGTAAAAGCATTCCTATTTCTCCACATCCTCTCCAGCACCTGTTGTTTCCTGACTTTTTAATGATTGCCATTCTAACTGGTGTGAGATGATATCTCATTGTGGTTTTGATTTGCATTTCTCTGATGGCCAGTGATGGTGAGCATTTTTTCATGTGTTTTTTGGCTGCATAAATGTCTTCTTTTGAGAAGTGTCTGTTCATGTCCTTCGCCCACTTTTTGATGGGGTTGTTTGTTTTTTTCTTGTAAATTTGTTTGAGTTCATTGTAGATTCTGGATATTAGCCCTTTGTCAGATGAGTAGGTTGCGAAGATTTTCTCCCATTTTGTGGGTTGCCTGTTCACTCTGACAGTAGTTTCTTTTGCTGTGCAGAAGCTCTTTAGTTTAATTAGATTCCATTTGTCAATTTTGGCTTTTGTTGCCATTGCTTTTGGTGTTTTAGACATGAAGTCCTTGCCCATGCCTATGTCCTGAATGGTAATGCCTAGGTTTTCTTCTAGGGTTTTTATGGTTTTAGGTCTAAAGTTTAAGTCTTTAATCCATCTTGAATTGATTTTTGTATAAGGTGTAAGGGAGGAATCCAGTTTCAGCTTTCTACATATGGCTAGCCAGTTTTCCCAGCATCATTTATTAAATAGGGAATCCTTTCCCCATTGCTTGTTTTTGTCAGGTTTGTCAAAGATCAGATGGTTGTAGATATACAGCGTTATTTCTGAGGGCTCTGTTCTGTTCCATTGATCTATATCTCTGTTTTGGTACCAGTACCATGCTGTTTTGGTTACTGTAGCCTTGTAGTATAGTTTGAAGTCAGACAGCATGATGCCTCCAGCTTTGTTCTTTTGGCTTACGATTGACTTGGCGATGCGGGCTCTTTTTTGGTTCCATATGAACTTTAAAGTAGTTTTTTCCAATTCTGTGAAGAAAGTCATTGGTAGCTTGATGGGGATGGCATTGAATCTGTAAATGCACTATGGCCATTTTCACAATATTGATTCTTCCTATCCATGAGCATGGAATGTTCTTCCATTTGTTTGTATCCTCTTTTATTTCATTGAGCAGTGGTTTGTAGTTCTCCTTGAAGAGGTCCTTCACTTCCCTTGTAAGGTGGATTCCTAGGTATTTTATTCTCTTTGAAGCAATTGTGAATGGGAGTTCACTCATGATTTATATCTCTGTTTGTCTGTTATTGGTGTATAAGAATGCTTGTGATTTTTGTACATTGATTTTGTATCCTGAGACTTTGCTGAAGTTGCTTATCAGCTTAAGGAGATTTTGGGCTGAGACAATGGGGTTTTCTAGATATACAATCATGTCGTCTGCAAACAGGGACAATTTGACTTCCTCTTTTCCTAATTGAATACCCTTTATTTCCTTCTCCTGCCTAATTGCCCTGGCCAGAACTTCCAACACTATGTTGAATAGGAGTGGTGAGAGAGGGCATCCCTGTCTTGTGCCAGTTTTCAAAGGGAACGCTTCCAGTTTTTGCCCATTCAGTATGATATTGGCTGTGGGTTTGTCATAGATAGCTCTTATTATTTTGAGATACGTCACATCAATACCTAATTTATTGAGAGTTTTCAGCATGAAGGGTTGTTGAATTTTGTCAAAGGCCTTTTCTGCATCTATTGAGATAATCATGTGGTTTTTGTCTTTGGTTCTGTTTATATGCTGGATTACATTTATTGACTTGCATATATTGAACCAGCCTTGCATCCCAGGGATGAAGCCCACTTGATCATGGTGAATAAGCTTTTTGATGTGCTGCTGGATTCGGTTTGCCAGTATTTTATTGAGGATTTTTGCATCAATGTTCATCAAGGATATTGGTCTAAAATTCTCTTTTTTGGTTGTGTCTCTGCCCAGCTTTGGTATCAGGATGATGCTGTCCTCACAAAATGAGTTAGGGAGGATTCCCTCTTTTTCTATTGATTGGAATAGTTTCAGAAGGAATGGTACCAGTTCCTCCTTGTACCTCTGGTAGAATTCGGCTGTGAATCCATCTGGTCCTGGACTCTTTTTGGTTGGTAAGCTATTGATTATTGCCACAGTTTCAGCTCCTGTTATTGGTCTATTCAGAGATTCAACTTCTTCCTGGTTTAGTCTTGGGAGAGTGTGTGTGTCGAGGAATTTATCCATTTCTTCTAGATTTTCTAGTTTATTTGTGTAGAGGTGTTTGTAGTAATCTCTGATGGTAGTTTGTATTTCTGTGGGATCGGTGGTGATATCCCCTTTATCATTTTTTATTGCATCTATTTGATTCTTCTCTCTTTTTTTCTTTATTAGTCTTGCTAGCGGTCTATCAATTTTGTTGATCCTTTCAAAAAACCAGCTCCTGGATTCATTAATTTTTTGAAGGGTTTTTTGTGTCTCTATTTCCTTCAGTTCTGCTCTGATTTTAGTTATTTCTTGCCTTCTGCTAGCTTTTGAATGTGTTTGCTCTTGTTTTTCTAGTACTTTTAATTGTGATGCTAGGGTGTCAATTTTGGATCTTTCCTGCTTTCTCTTGTGGGCATTTCGTGCTATAAATTTCCCTCTACACACTGCTTTGAATGTGTCCCAGAGATTCTGGTATGTTGTGTCTTTGTTCTCGTTGGTTTCAAAGAACATCTTTATTTCTGCCTTCATTTCCTTATGTACCCAGTAGTCATTCAGGAGCAGGTTGTTCAGTTTCCATGTAGTTGAGTGGTTTTGAGTGAGTTTCTTAATCCTGAGTTCTAGTTTGATTGCACTGTGGTCTGAGAGACAGTTTGTTATAATTTCTGTTCTTTTACATTTGCTGAGGAGAGCTTTACTTCCATGTATGTGGTCAATTTTGGAATAGGTGTGGTGTGGTGCTGAAAAAAATGTATATTCTGTTGATTTGGGGTGGAGAGTTCGGTAGATGTCTATTAGGTCCGCTTGGTGCAGAGCTGAGTTCAATTCCTGGGTATCCTTGTTAACTTTCTGTCTCGTTGATCTGTCTAATGTTGACAGTGGGGTGTTAAAGTCTCCCATTATTAATGTGTGGGAGTCTAAGTCTCTTTGTAGGTCACTCAGGACTTGCTTTATGAATCTGGGTGCTCCTGTATTGGGTGCATATATATTTAGGATAGTTAGCTCTTCTTGTTGAATTGATCCCTTTACCATTATGTAATGGCCTTCTTGGTCTCTTTTGATCTTTGTTGGTTTAAAGTCTGTTTTATCAGAGACTAGGATTGCAACCCCTGCCTTTTTTTGTTTTCCATTTGCTTGGTAGATCTTCCTCCATCCTTTTATTTTGAACCTATGTGTCTCTGCATGTGAGATGGGTTTCCTGAATACAGCACACTGATGGGTCTTGACTCTTTATGCAATGTGCCAGTCTGTGCCTTTTAATTGGAGCATTTAGTCCATTTGCATTTAAAGTTAATATTGTTATGTGAGAGTTTGATCCTGTCATTATGATGTTAGCTGGTTATTTTGCTCGTTAGTTGATGCAGTTTCTTCCTAGTCTCGATGGTCTGTACATTTTGGCATGATTTTGCAGCGGCTGGTACCGGTTGTTCCTTTCCATGTTTAGCGCTTCCTTCAGGAGCTCTTTTAGAGCAGGTCTGGTGGTGACAAAATCTCTCAGCATTTGCTTGTCTGTAAAGTATTTTATTTCTCCTTCACTTATGAAGCTTAGTTTGGCTGGATATGAAATTCTGGGTTGAAAATTCTTTTCTTTAAGAATGTTGAATATTGGCCCCCACTCTCTTCTGGCTTGTAGAGTTTCTGCCAAGAGATCTGCTGTTAGTCTGATGGGCTTCCCTTTGTGGGTAACCCAACCTTTCTCTCTGGCTGCCCTTAACATTTTTTCCTTTGTTTCAATTTGGTGAATCTGACAATTATGTGTCTTGGAGTTGCTCTTCTCAAGGAGTATCTTTGTGGCGTTCTCTGTATTTCCTGAATCTGAATGTTGGCCTGCCTTGCTAGATTGGGGAAGTTCTCCTGGATAATATCCTGCAGAGTGTTTTCCAACTTGGTTCCATTCTCCCCGTCACTTTCAGGTACACCAATCAGACACAGATTTGGTCTTTTCACATAGTCCCATATTTCTTGGAGGCTTTGTTCATTTCTTTTTATTCTTTTTTCTCTAAACTTCCCTTCTCGCTTCATTTCATTCATTTCATCTTCCATCACTGATACCCTTTCTTCCAGTTGATCGCATTGGCTCCTGAGGCTTCTGCATTCTTCACGTAGTTCTGGAGCCTTGGCTTTCAGCTCCATCAGCATCTTTAAGCACTTCTCTGTATTGGTTATTCTAGTTATACATTCGTCTAAATTTTTTTCAAAGTTTTTAACTTCTTTGCCTTTGGTTTGAATTTCCTCCTGTAGCTCGTTGGTTGATCGTCTGAAGCCTTCTTCTCTCAACTCGTCAAAGTCATTCTCCGTCCAGCTTTGTTCCAATGCTGGTGAGGAACTGCGTTCCTTTGGAGGAGGAGAGGTGCTCTGCTTTTTAGAGTTTCTAGTTTTTCTGCTCTGTTTCTTCCCCATCTTTGTGGTTTTATCTACTTTTGGTCTTTGATGATGGTGATGTACAGATGGGTTTTTGGTGTGGATGTCTTTTCTGTTTGTTAGTTTTCCTTCTAACAGACAGGACCCTCAGCTGCAGGTCTGTTGGAGTTTGCTAGAGGTCCACTCCAGACCCTGTTTGCCTGGGTATCAGCAGCGGTGTTTGCAAGACAGCAGTTTTTCGTGAACCGCGAATGCTGCTGTCTGATCGTTCCTCTGGAAGTTTTGTCTCAGAGGAGTACCGGGCTGTGTGAAGTGTTAGTCTGCCCCTACTGGGGGGTGCCTCCCAGTTAGGCTGCTCAGGGGTCAGGGGTCAGGGACCCACTTGAGGAGGCAGTCTGCCCGTTCTCAGATCTCCAGCTGCGTGCTGGGAGAACCACTGCTCTCTTCAAAGCTGTCAGACAGGGACATTTAAGTCTGCAGAGGTTACTGCTGTCTTTTTGTTTGTCTGTGCCCTGCCCCCAGAGGTGGAGCCTACAGAGGCAGGCAGGCCTCCTTGAGCTGTGGTGGGCTCCACCCAGTTCGAGCTTCCTGGCTGCTTTGTTTACCTAAGCAAGCCTGGGCAATGGCGGGTGCCCCTCCCCCAGCCTCACTGCTGCTTTGCAGTTTGATCTCAGACTGCTGTGCTAGCAATCAGCGAGACTCCGTGGGCGTAGGACCCTCTGAGCCAGGTGTGGGATATAATCTCCTGGTGCACCGATTTTTAAGTCCATTGGGAAAGCGCAGTATTCGGGTGGGAGTGACCCAATTTTCCAGGTGCCGTCTGTCACCCCTTTCTTTGACTAGGAAAGGGAACTCCCTGACCCCTTGCACTTTCCGAGTGCGGCAATGCCTTGCCTTGCTTCGGCTCGTGCATGGTGCACTGCACCCACTGACCTGCACCCACTGTCTGGCACTCCCTAGTGAGATGAAGCCAGTACCTCAGATGGAAATGCAGAAATTACCTGTCTTCTGCATCGCTCACGCTGGGAGCTGTAGACCAGACCTGTTCCTATTCGACCATCTTGGCTCCTCCCCCCATGGAGGGTTTTGTATATCAGATAGAGAAGTGGCACAGAGATACTATTGAGCATTCTTTTTGTAGTTTTGTTTTTTGGGTTTTTTTTTTTTGCATATAGTAACATGTTTTTTAAAAATTTTTATTTTAAATGACAAAATTGCATATATTCATGATGTGAAAGATGATGTTTTAAAATGTGTGCACACTGCGAAATGGGTAAATGAAGCTAATTAACATATGCATCACCTCATATACTTACAATTTGTTGTTCTGAGTAAACACAAAATCTACTCCCTTAGCAATTTTCAAGAATACTATAGATTGTTTTTAACTATAGTCACGTCGTTGTACAATAGACCTCTTAAACTTAATTCTCTTGTCTAACTGAAATTTTGTGCCTTTTCACCATCTCCCCAACTACTCCGTTGATCCACTCTGCTGCCACAGTCCTAGGTAATCACCATTCTATTCTCTGCTTCTATGAGTTTACCTTTTAAAGATTTCCCATAAAAGTGAGATCATTCAATATTTATCTTTCTGTGCCTACCTTATTTCACTTAACATAATATCCTCCAGGTCTGTCCATGTTGTTGCAAGTGGAAGAATTTTCTCCTTTTTTAAAGGCAGGATAGTATTCTGCTATGTATATATACCACAATTTCTTTATCCATTCATCCATTGATGGACACTTAGGTTGATTGTATATCTTGGCCTTTATAAATAATGCTGCAATGAACATAGGAGTACAGCAGTCTCTTCAGCATGTTGATTTCATTTACTTTGGGTATATACCCAGTAGTGGGATTGCTGAATCATATGGCCCACTGAGCATAATGACAGAATAATAATAGGAGTGACTTCTTGAAAGATTAACACATCACAATTAATATCAGAGGGCAGACAGGCAAGGGGGACTATTCTGGCCTCATTGAGAGAATTAGTTAAGGACTTCTGTTGCCACATTCACTTGAGCAGATGGTGCATTGTGATGTAAGTTACATCCAGTAAGGCTGTGCAGGTACAACATGAAAGTTGTTTTGCTTGTGGACAGAGACAATTGGGTGAATAAAGAATCATCTTATCTGCCATGGAAATCATAGCTTGATTTTTATAAAATACCCCCCAAAATCAATAAAACTATATATGTACATTAGTATTTAAACTATATATCCACTAACATGAACATCTTAAAAGTATGTTGTTGTATTATGTCCACACAAACACTTGTACAAGAATGCCTATAGTAGCATTATTCACAATAGCTCAAGACTAGAAAATACCCAAAAGTCATCATGAGGTGGATGGACAACAAGCTGGAATGCATCCATAAAGTGGAATAATACTTTGCAACAAAAAGGTATGAAATGCTGATAGATACCACAACCTGGATATATTTCACAGACGTTCTACTGAGCAACAGAAGCCATACAAAAAGAGTACATGCTGTATGATCTCATTTATCTAAAAGTAAAATGCATACTAATCCATAGAGACAGAAAGCAGATCAGAAGCTGCCTGGATGCCAAGGATAGAAGGAGGGACTGCACAGGGGAGAGAGGAAACTTTTAGGAGTGACAAAAATTTATTTATCTTAATTGTGGTGGCTTCAAAAGTGTACACAGCTGAAGAAAGCTCACTAAATTGTACATCTTAAATCTGTGCAGCTTACTGTACATAAATCATACCACAATAAATTCAATTAATGAGAGAAACTAAAATTCCAAAAATTCTCTTTCAAAAATTATATTGTTATAGTTTACTTATTAATTAATGGTAACATTATAGTTTTTAGTCCTTCAATGTATTCTTAAAAGGTTTCTATGTTCTAATTATTGCCTATTAACAACTTTTGCATGAAAATGTAATCAACTTCATTAGAGAATGGGAGAAAATAGAGATTAGTATGAACCTGGAAATCAAAAGCAATTGAATTATAAAAATTAAAAAATTATTTTCAGATTCACATTACCTGATTTCGTGTTTTAAAATGCAAATACAGTCAGAAACCATGAACCAGAAAGTTATTGTGATTATCTGATCTTTTCCTGATATCATAGAAAATTCAAATTGAATCAATAAACTAGATCATTTCCCCAGCTAGCTTTTTGCCTATTAGATTTTGCTGAGTCAGCATAAAAATCCATCATGGTTTAGCTCCAGCAAATGAAATGACAACTTGCGACACACTTGTCACAGGAACCAGAGAAACTGAAGAATGACAGGCAAACCTTAAAGAGCCTCCTCCATAGAGGGTGGCAGTGGCTTTCCTTCTTTATGATATTTTCCTTTTTGCCACTGGAGGATGAGCCAACAGTCATAAGCTCAACAGGAAGAGGCTCTTATACCTTTGATAATAAAGAGATTAATCACCATTCTGCTAGTGACTTTCTTTGGTTTGGGCATATAAGTTATTAATTTGTAAAGTGTGAGTTTCTCATTTCTTACTGAAATGTTGGCTACACAGATCGGGACACAGCAGAGCAGAGGAGAAAGAAGATGGTGGCTGAGAAACAGGGCTGCCATTTCACCATCATGAATATGTCAGACTCTTGTTTGGAGAAAAAAGCAGCTTGGAAAATGTGCTTTTATACATTCAGCTGGTACCATCCAGCACTGGAGCACCTTATACCTCTTAAATGTACTATTTGTAGCATCCATTATAATGCATTTAAAGCAGTGGTTCTCAACCTTGGCTGCATTTGTAAATCACCTCGGGAGCTTTTTAAAAATATCAAGGCCAGGCCCTACCCTCAGAGATTCTGCCTTAATTGGTCTGGGATAAGGTTCAGGCAAAAGTATTTTTAAAATATACTCCAGGTGTTTTAAATATGCAGCCAGGATGGAGAACTACTGATTTAGAGGCAGGATGGCTGCTTTTTATGTGTTTTAAATAAATGCAATATATAGAATTTTTTATAGTTCACATTAATTCAAAAAGACTTTGAAATGGGTTCCAAAAATTTATTCAATCCAAAGAATTTTTTAAACTTGAAAATTCTAATTAAATAAATGAAAATTAAAACAAGAGTGAGATGTCATTTTTCCCCATTGGTAACAATTTTAAAAATTGGGCCAGGCGCGGTGGCTCACGCCTGTAATCCCAGCACTTTGGGAGGGTGAGGCAGGCAGATCATGAGATCAGGAGATGGAGACCACGGTGAAACCCCATCTCTACTAAAAATACAAAAAATTAGCCGGGCACAGTGGCAGGTGCCTGTAGTCCCAGCTACTCGGGAGGCTGAGGCAGGAGAATGGCTTGAACCCAGGAGGCGGAGCTTGCAGTGAGCTGAGATCATGCCACTGCACTCCAGCCTGGGCAACAGAGCGAGACTCTGTCTCAAAATAAAATTGATTATATCCAGTGATAATGAGAATATGTGGAAATGATAATGCTGATACAATACACATAGATGTGAAAATTGGTACCAGTTTCTTACAGGGCAATTTAGCAATATCTATCAAGTATGGTATGTATTGGTCTAGCAATTTCATTGCTAGGAATTTACATGCAAATTTTCACCAAAATATAGGTTAAGGAATTAAGGTTTGGATCTGTGTCCCTGCCCAAATCTCCTGTCAAATTGTAATCCTCAGTGTTGGAGGTGGGACCTGGTGGGAAGTGATTGGATCATGGGAGTGGTTTATCATGAATGGTTTAGCCCCATCTCCCTTGGTGGTGTTGCAATAGCAAGTTCCTCTGACGTCTGTTTGTTTAAATGTATGTGGCACCTTACCCCTCTCTTGCTCCTACTCTGGCCATGTAAGATGCACCTGCTTTTCCTTTGCTTTCTTCCATGATTATAAGTTTCCTGAGGCCTCCCCAGAAGCAGAAGTTGCTCTGCTTCCTGTACACCTGTGGAGCCATGAGCCAATTAAACCTCTTTTCTTTATAAATTATCCAGTCTCAGGGGTTTCTTTTTAGCAGTGCAAGAATGAACTAATATAGAAAATTGGTACCAAGGAATGGGGCATTGCAATAAAGATACCTGAAAATGTGGAAGAAGCTTTGGAATTGGGTAATGGACAGAAATTGGAAGAGAGTGGAGGGCTCAGAAGAAGACAGGAATATAAAGGAAAATTTAGAACTTAGAGACTTGTTAAATGATTGTGACTGAAATAATGATAGTAATATGAACAATGAAGGTCAGGTTGAGGAGGTCTCAGATGGAAATGAGGAACTTATCGGGAGCTGAAGCAAAGGTCACATTTGTTATGCATTAGCGAAGTACTTGGAGGCATGGTGCCCCTGTACTAAGGATCTGTGGAACTTTGAATGTGAGAGTGATGATTTAGGGTATCTGGTGGAAGAAATTTCTAAGCAGCAAAGCCTTTAAAGTGACCTGGCTGCTTCTAACAATCTATTCTCATATGTGTGAGTAAAAAAATGATCTAAAACTAAAACTTACATTTAAAGGGGAAGCAGAGTGAAAGTTTGGAAAATTTGCAGCCTGGCCATGCATTAGAAAAGATAAACCTATTTTTGGCCGGGAGCAGTGGCTCATGACTGTAATTCCAGCACTTTGGGAGGCCAAAGTGGGCGGATCATGAGGTCAGGAGCTCGAGACCATCCTGGCTAACACGGTGAAACCCCATCTCTACTAAAAATACAAAAAATTAGCTGGGCTTGGTGGTAGGCAACGGTAGTCCCAGCTACTCAGGAGGCTGAGGCAGGAGAATGGTGTGAACCCGGGAGGCAGAGCTTGCATTGAGCGGAGACCACACCACTGCACTCCAGCCTGGACCACAGAGTGAGACTCCGTCTCAAAAAAAAAAAAAAAGAAAAGATAAATCTATTTTCTGGGGAGGAAGTCAAGCTGAGTGCAGAAAGCTTCATAAGTAAAGAGGACCCCAATGTTATTAGCCAAGACAATAGGGAAAAGGCCTCAAAGGCATTTCACAGACTTTTGTGGCAGCCCCTCCCATCACAGGCCCAGAGACCTAGGAGGGAAGAATGGTTTCCTGTGTGTATTAGTTCATTTTCACACTGCTGATAAAGACATACCTGAAACTGGGAATAAAAAGAGGTTTAATTGAAATTACATTTCCACATGGCTGGGGAGGCCTCAGAATCATGGCAGGAGGCAAAAGGCACTTCTTACATGGTGGTGGCAAGAAAAAAATGAGGAGGAAGCAAAAGCAGAAACCTCTGATGAACTCATCAGATCTCATGAGACTTATTCACTATCACAAGAATAGCACAGGAAAGACCAACCCCCATGATTTAATTACCTCCCCCTGGGTCCCTCCAACAAATGGGAATTCTGGGAGATACAATTCAAGTTGAGATTTGGGTAGGGACATAGCCAAACCATATCATTCCACCCCCGGTCCCTCCAAATCTCATGTTCTCACATTTCAAAACCAATCATGCCTTCCCAACAGTGCCCCAAAGTCTTAACTCAATTAAGCATTAATCCAATTAATTCAGCATTAATCCAAAAGTCCACAGTCCAAAGTCTCATCTGAGATAAGGCAAGTCCCTTCCACCTGTGAGCCTGTAAAATCAAAAGCAAGCTAGTTACTTCCTAGATACAATGGGGTACAGGTATTGGGTAAATACAGCCATTCCTTATGGGAGAAATTGGCCAAAACAAAGGGGTTACAGGGCCTATCCAAGTCCAAAATCCAGCAGGGTAGTCACATTTTAAAGCTCCAAAATGATCTCCTTTGACTCCAGGTCTCACATCCAGGTCACACTGATGCAAGAGGTGGGTACCCATGGTCTTGGACAGCTCCGCCCCTGTGTCTTTGCAGGGTACAGCCTCCCTCTTGGCTGCTTTCATGGGCTGGTGTTGTGTCTGCAGCTTTTCCAGGTACACGGTGCAAGCTGTCAGTGGATCTACCATTCTGGGGTCTGGAAAATGGTGGCCCTCTTCTCACAGCTCCACTAGGAAGTGCCCCAGTAGGGACTCTGTGAGGGTGCTCCGATCCCACATTTTCCTTCAGCACTGCCCTAGCAGAGGTTCTCCATGAGGGCCCTGCCTCTGCCACAAACTTTTGCCTGGGCATTCAGGCTTTTCCATACATCTTCTGAAATCTAGGCAGAGGTTTCCAAACCTCAATTTTTGAATTCTGTGCATAAGCAGGCACAGCAGCACATGGAAGCTGCCAAGGCTTGGGGCTCCCACCCTCTGAAGCCACAGCTTGAGCTCTGTGTTGGCCCCTTTCATCCACAGCTAGAGTGGCTGGGACACAGGGCACCAAGTCCCTAGGCTGCACATAGCAGGGGCACCCTGGGCCTGGCCCATGAAACCACTTTTTCCTCCTGGGCCTCCAGGCCTGTGATGGGAGGGGCTGCCATGAAGGTCTCTGACATGGTCTGGAGACATTTTCCTCATGGTCTTGGGGATTAACATTAGGCTTCTTGCTACTTACGCACATTCTGGCAGCCAGTTTGAATTTCTTCTGAAAAAAATGGTTTTTTTCCCACTGCATCACCAGGCTGCAAATTTTCTGAACTTTAATGCTCTGTTTCCCTTTTAAAACATAATGCTTTTAACAGCACCCAAGTTGCCTTTTGAATGCTTTGCTGCTTAGAAATTTCTTCCCCCAGATACCCTAAATCATCTCTCTCAAGTTCAAAGTTCTACAAATCTCTAGGGCAGGAACAAAATGCCGCTAGTCTCTTTGCTAAAACATAATAAGAGTCACCTTTGCTCCAGTTCCCAACAGGTCCCTCATCTCCATCTGAGACCACCTCAGCCTGAACCTTATTGTTCATATCACTATCAGCATTTTTGCCAAAGCCATTCAACAAGTCTCTAGGACGTTCCAAACTTTCCCACATTTTTCTGTCTTCTTCTGAGTCCCCCAAATTGTTCCAACCTCTGCCTGTTACCCAGTTCCAAAGTCACTTCCACATTTTTGGGCCCATTTTTGGGTATATTTTCAGCAGTGCCCGACTCTACTGGTACCAATTTTACGGTATTAGTTCATTTTCATGCTGCTGATAAAGGCAAACCCGAAACTGGGAATAAAAAGAGGTTTAATTGGACTTACAGTTCCGTATGGCTGGGGAGGCTTCAGAATCATGGCAGCAGGCAAAAGGCACTTCTTACATGGTGGTGGCAAGAAAAAAAATGAGGAGGAAGCAAAAGTGGAAACCCTTGATAAACCCATCAGATCTCATGAGACTTACTATCACAAAAATAGCATGGGAAAGACCAGCCCCCATGATTCCATTTCATCCTCCTGGGTCCCTCCCACAACAAGTAGGGATTCTGGGAGATACAATTCAAGTTAAGATTTGGGTGGTGGGGACACAGCCAAACCATATCACTTGGCCAGGCCCAGGACCCTGCTGATCTGTGCAGCCACAGAACACTTCACCCTGCATCCCAGCTGCTCCAGCTCCAGCCATGGTTCAAAGGGGCCCAGGTACACCCAATATCCCAGCTGCTCCAGCTCTAGCTGCTTCAAAAGGTGCAAGCATAAACCTTGGTGGCTTACAGTGTTAAACCTGTGGGCACTCAGAGTGCAATACTTGAGGCTTGGGAGCCTCCACCTGAATGTCAGAGGTTGTATAGAAAAGTCTAGATATATAGGCAGGAGCCTGTTGCAAGGGTGGAGCCCTCATGGGGAACCTCTACTAGGGAAGTGCAGAGGGGAAATGAGGGGTTGCAGCCACCACACAAAGTCCCCACTGGGGCACTGCCTAGTGGAGCTGTGAGAAGAGGGCCACTGTCCTCTAGACCCCAGAATGGTAGATCCATTGACAGCTTGCATCCTACACCTGGAAAAGCCACAAGTACTCATCATCAACCCATGAGAGCAGCCACAGGGTTTGCACCCTGCAAAGAGAGAGGGGTGGAGCTGCCCAAGTCCTTGGGAGCCCACCTTTTGCATCAGTGTGCCTTGGATGTAAGACATGGAGTCAAAGGAGACTATTTTGGAGCTTTAAAATCTAACGACTGAGGCGGGAGCAGTGGCTCACACCTGTAATCCCAGCACTTTGGGAGGCCGAGGCAGGTGGATCACAAGGTCAGGAGTTTGAGACCAGCCTGGCCAGCATGGTGAAACCCTGTCTCTACTAAAAATACAAAAAATTAGCTGGGCATGGTGGCACGTGCCTATAGTCCCAGCTACTCAGGAGGCTGAGGCAGGAGAATTGCTTGAACCCAGCAGGCGGAGGTTGCAGACTGCACTCCAGACTGGGTGACAGAGCAAGACTCTGTCTCAAAACAAACAAAAAAAATTAATGACTGCCCTGCTGAGTTTCAGACTTGCATGCAGTCTGTAGCCCCCTTTTTTGGCCAATTTCTCCTTTTTGGAATGGGAGTATTTACCCAATGCCTATACCCCCATTGTATCTTGGATGTAACTAACTTGCTTTTATTTTACAGGCTCATAGGCAAAAGGTACTAGCCTTGTCTCGGATGAGACTTTAGACTTAAAGCTTTTGAGTTAATGCTGGAACTCAAATTGAGTTAACCAAATCTCAACTTGAATTATATCTCCCAGAATTCCCACTTGTCATATGAGGGACACAGGGGGAGGTAAATGAATCATGGGGGTTAGTTTTTCCTGTGCTATTCTCGTGATAGTGAATAAGTCTCATGAGATCTGATGGGTTTATCAAGGGTTTCTGCTTTTGCTTCCTCCTCATTTTTTTTTCTTGCCAACATCATGTAAGAAGTGCCTTTCGTCTCCTGACTTTAAGGGACTGTTGGGAATGCATGATTGTATTTTGAAATGTGAGAAGAACATGAGATTTGGGAGGGGCCAGGTGTGGAATAATATGGTTTCAATCTGTGTCCCTGCCCAAATGTCATGTTGAATTGTAATCCCCCATGTTGGAAGGTGGAGCCTGGTGAGAGGTGATTGCATCATGGGAGTGGTTTATCATGAATGGTTTAGCCCCATCCCCCTTGGTGGTGATGTTGCAATAGTGAGTTCTTGTGAGATCTGGTTGTTTAAAGGTGTGTGGCACCTCCCCACCACCCTTGCCTCTGCTCTGGCTACATAAGATATATCGGCTTTCCCTTCACCTTCCATCATGATTGGAAGCTTCCTAAGGCCTCACTGGAAGCAGAAGCCACTATGCTTCCTGTACAGCCTGCGGAACTGTGAGCCGATTAAGCCTCTTTCTTATATATTATCCAGTCTCAAGCATTTCTTTATGCCAGCGTGAAAACAGATTAATACAAGGAATATTCATTGAAAATTTTTTATAATAGTGAAAAAATGGAGAAAATGAAAGGATTCACTGTTCAGGAGACCAGTTAAGTAAATTGTGTTGCATTAATAAGGTAGAATACTATGGAGACCTTTTTAAAATAAGTGCCTTCTATATATTCTGACAGAAAAAATCTCTAAGATATATTATTAGTTGAAAAGAAAAAGAAACAAGGTACAGAAAATTATGTAGAATATGATCTCTTTATGTAAATTTAAATAAATATACAGTTGACCCTTGAAGAACACAGCTTTGGACTGTGCAGGTCCATTTATGCATGGATTATCTTCTGCTTCTGCCACCCCTAAGACAGCAAGACCAACCTCTCCTCTTCTTCCTGCTCTTCAGCCTATTCAATATAAAGATGATAAAGATGAATACCTTTATGATGATCCACTTCCACTTAATGAACAGTAAGCATATTTCCTCTTCCTTATGACTTTCTAAATAATGTTTTCTTTTTATTATTTTTAAAAATATTATTTGTTAAATTTTTGAGTGTACATAGTAGTTGTATATATTTATGGAGGACATGAAACATTTTGATACAGGCATGCAATGTAAAATAATCGCACCATGGAGAATGGAATATCCATCCCCTCAACTATTTATCCTTTGAATTACAAACAATCCAATTACATTCTTTAAGTTATTTTTACACTATACTATTAAGTTATTATTGACTATAGTCACCCTATTGTGATATCAAATAGTAGGTGTTATTCATGCATTTTTTTGTGCCCAATAACTCTCCTCTACCTCCCCACAACCCCCGCTCTACAATTCTCAGCCTCTCGTAACCATCCTTCTACCCTCTATGTTCATGAGTTTCATCGTTTTTTATTTTTAGATCCTACAAATAAGTGAGAACATGTGATGTTTGTCTTTCTGTGCCTGGCTTATTTCACTTAACATAATGATCTCCAGTTCCACCCATGTTATCGTGAGTGACTGGATCTCATTCTTCTTTTATGGCTGAATAGTACTTTATTATGTACATGTATCACATTTTCTTTATCCGTTCATCTGTTGATGGACACTTAGGTTGCTTCTGAATCTTAGCTATTGTAAACAGTGCTGCAACAAAGAGAGTTGTGCAGATATCTCTTCAATGTACTTGATTTCCTTTCTTTTGGGTACATACTCAGTAGTGGGATTAATAATATTTTCTTATCTCTCGCTGACTTTATTGTAAGAATATAGTATATAATACATCTAACATACAAAATATGTGTTAGGAGACTGTTTATTATTATTGGGAAGGCTTCCAGTCAACAATAGGATATTAGTAGTTATAATTTGAAGGAGTCAAAATTTATACATAAGTTTTCTAATGCACAGGGGTCAGCACCCCAACCCCTGCATTGTTCAAGGGTCAACTGTATTCTCAATGTTAGCAAGTCTACTTCTGCAGTTAGCAGAGATAGCCTCAGTAATTATTCAACAAGATTTTACACTATATTTGCAAATCATCAAATGTCAAACAATTGTGGTTTTCAGACTACTATATGCTTTGGAGGTCTTTTACCCTATTATAAAAATTATACTGAGATAGCAAATGTAATGATTTAGAACATCATTATGATCTCTAACTATGGGGTTAGGAAGTTCTTTACCCTTTAAATTGTAATTTAATTTTAAGTAAATGTTCACGGAATTATGTTTTTTTCCTGGAAGGAAATGTGGTTGTCTTTGGGAAAATGGATGTTAGAAGAGTTGAGAAACTCTTATTTTTCTTTTGTACCTTTCTGTAGAGTTTTAATTATACATATCCTGGAGTTATCTGGGTAGTAAGATAATGTTCCATTTTTTCTTTATAATATAAACTTTTTAAAGTGAGGGAACTGGGAATAAAGATTTTTAAAAAGTCAAAAAATAAGATGAAAGTGTAGTAAATTTGAAATACAAAAGGAATGTCTGAAAGTCTATGAAACTGCTGAAGATGGGCCACAAATTTGGCTCTGATTTCTCTAGCAGCCAATAACATAAGGAAACACCATCACATATGTAATTCATTATATCTGTAAGATAAAAATGCATTTGTAGGGAAAGCCAAACAATTCATGAAACCTGAGTGTAATTTCTTTGGTAGATCCTCAAATGAGACCACTACATCTGATACAGGGAAAAATACCCAGAGTTACCCATAAAAATGTCAAGAATTTTGATTTATTTTATGATCTATTTTACAGATAAAAATAACCAGAGAAGAATAATCAGATAAGAAAACAACATCAGAAGGCTCAATTTCTGGCCCTTTCTGCTGAGATAATAGTGTTCTTAGCTACAGCAAATGATCCCTTTTCAGCTAACGTTGCTGCTGATCACAGACATCATAAACTGGATTGGCAATGCTAAGCTGTGGTGCCAGACTTCCTCCTCTTGCTGTTATCTTAAGCTAGACACCCTCACTTCCCAGAAAATGGATCTCTCTTGTTCTCATAAAAATCAGTCTCCTGTACTGTATTTGACTAGTGAGGTCATGGGCAAGTGACTGCTGTAGCTGCAAAAAATATTGGGAAAAGGGAACAGGTCTCATAACATGGTATGTTTGTCCCAGCATGTGGACAAAATATTCTCAAGATACACATTAGCCAGGAAAAGGTCAAACACCCACCCACCAAGATTCCAAAGCAGAGCCAGGATGAGGGTCCAGACCCAGGTTCTAATCCATCCAACACCATCCAACACTCAGGATCTACGTTCATGCTTCACATTTTACCTCTTGCTTTGCTGGCAGGAAGTTAGACTTACACTTTGCCTTAACTCTAATATTCTGTCATTTCTAACACAGATCATACAATTAATAGGGATTTTGAAGACACTTTCTTCCTGCAGTCTTAGATGCTGACAGGCCTTTAAACAAAGAAACACTGAAGTTAAAATCCAACGCATAATAAAATCTGGAAACAGCCCAAATACCTTTCAACCGGGAAACAGGCAAAAGCTATGGTACAACGGGTTGTCGGAAACTGCAACTTTCAGAAAAATGACACATAACGAAAACCAATTTTACCATATGCTAATTGATATAAACAAGAGTGAAGCTCCTACAGTATATTTCTGGTCACAAAAACATCATCAAACTTTTGAATAAGGACCAAAACACTTCCAATATTAGGCATTGAAATAATTGTGAACTATAATACATTAAGAAAAATTAGGGAGGCTGAGGCAGGAGAATGGCATGAACCCGGGACTTGGAGCTTGCAGTGAGCCAAGATCATGCCACTGCACTCCAGCCTGGGCGACAGAGCGAGACTCTGTCAAAACAAAAAAAAAGAAAAAAGAAAAAAAGAGAAATTAATAAAAGCAAATAAGATCATCCTTTACTGGCTCATTCCAGTTCGAGTCATGGATGGCTAGAGCCTATTACAGCAGCACAGGGTGAAAGATGGGAACCAGCCCTGGACAGGATGTCATTCCTTTGCAGGGCACACTCACACATGCTCCCAGCCTCACTTGGACTGGGACGATTTAGGTATGTCAACGAACCTAAGATGGACAGCTTTGGGAAGTGGGAGGAAAGTGGAGTACCCAGAGGAAACCTACACAGACATGGGGAGAAAATGCAAACTCCACACAGGTAGTGGAGGAATCAATATTTTTATTTTCATCAATGTTATAATGAAACAATGTTATTTGCAGACTTGCTGCATACAGTGGAATATAGTAATGAACTACTAATGCATGCATCAACATAGAAGCACCCCAAAAACATAACGCTGAGTGAAAAAAACCAGGCTCAAAAGGCTGCATACTGTATGAACTCATTTATATAACATACTCAAAAAGGCAAACTTATACGGACAGAAAAGAGATCAATGGTTGCCAGGGGCTGAAGGTAGGGAAGGAGTTTGACTACAATGGGGCACAGAGTAATTTTGGGGATGAAAGAATTATTCTATATCTTGGTTGTGGTAGTGGTGACATGATCATAAACATTGTCAAAACTTTCAGAACTGTACACCTAAAAGGGTGAATTGTACTGCATGTAAATTATACCTCAGTTTTTTTAAATGGAAAAATTCAATTCAATGAATAATACCTACATTTTATTTAGTCAACAAATATTTATTGATCACTTACTATGTGCCAGACACTCTTAAATGGTCATATATTTAAGCAAACTAATCCCAATGTATATAATGCATTGGAAATAATCTAAATTACTCTATGGATTCCTTAAACTTGATTTACAGCCAAAAATTCTGCATGAAGAACTTTAGTAGTGATGGGAAATGGCGGCACGTAGTTTTTTTCACCCATAACTGACAAATTACTGAAGTTTGGTGTGAAGACATATTGCAACCAATGGATTTGACACTCCCCAAGTACTGATTTAGAAAATCATTTTTAGGTGCTAATTGGCTGTGTGAAACTCACATTTTGGTGCAAGAAAGCTCAGAATTTCTGGTAGAAAGAACTAGGGAAGGCAGACGATGCAGGAGGGAGGTCAGGGCAGCCTGGAGTAGTGAGATGGGGAAAGTAGAGCACTGGCCTGAGGTCAAGAGATCTTCCTAGTCCTGCTCTTGGCTTGGTCGAGGTCACTTTGCCTTTCAGGGATTCAGTTTACTCAACCATTAAATGAATGAACTGGAAAGGTGGAAACAGCACTGACTGCACAATGCAGAGCTCTTCCGCTAGTAACGTGTGTGACCTTGATTAGTCAGTTGGCCTCTCTGGGCTTTCGTTTCTTACCATACCAAATGAGAGATTTAATGGTTGCATTAAAGATATTGATGCCATTGAACTGTATAGAAATGGCTAAAATGGTAAATTTTATGTTATTTACATTTTACCAAAATAAAAAATTTAATGAAAAAGATTTAGACAAAATGGATTTGGGGGTAATGTAGTTTGATTTTTTTCTCTTACTCTTGAGACAAAGTCCAAATTCCTTAACAAAGCCACCCATAGAGTGGCTGGGAAAATATTTTTGGTGGGGCCTCTGTCTATAGAAACAGTTTGAGCCACCCCAAACCAGCATGTCAACATCATTCCAGTGGCCCAATCTCATGAGATTATATGCAAAAAATACTGCATCTGCCAGCAGGAGCAATCTGCGTGCCAGACTACCATTCTAGGAACAAGGCCTCGTCCTGCAGCCCTAAGAAAACCCCATAGTATGAGTCCCAGAGCTCCTTGGGTCATCTGCTCAACCCCACATATGAGGTAGATTAGAGAGTACTCTGGGGAGAGAAATAGAGGTTCCATGCAAATCCCAGTCTGAGCTCTGGGTGCCCTGCCCAAATGGCACTGCCATAGCCAAATGGTCTGAAACATTGGAGGGAAACTTAGGAAATTTTGAGGAAGGCTCTCCGAAGCACAGGTTCCCCTGAGGCATGGGCCCAGCAGGGAGGATGTAGGAACTTGCCCATGCTCAAGGGTGGCACTTCTTGAATTAGTTTATAAACCTTGTCTGATTTGTCTCAAATGTGCCCAGGAACTTCCCACCCTTGGACTATGGCATTCAGGTATGGTTTCTCTATTCAGAACACGTGTTTCTCTCATTGCCTCAACACTCATTACTCCATTTGCTTAACTAATCCTTGTTCATCTGGGAAGTCTCAGCTTAGAAAACAATTCCTTCCAGAAGACTTCTCTGCCCCTGAGTTCTTGTTTATGAGCCTGATAGGCTACATTTAAAGACGAATCTAGAATCTTGGAATCTGTTTTCTCTTTCCCAGATCAATTCAACAGAATATTCAAAATAAAAGATAAAATCCCTCTGGAGTAGAATAAAAATTCTAAATCGGTTTCCTCCTTTCTAGAGGCTGGAGAGGAATGTATAATTCTACATTCTGAGTTCTCGAAGGAGAGGTGTGCATACAGAAGAGGAAATGTTGATATTAGCCACTGACCAAGCTATCTTAAGCCTGCTCCTTGTGGTCTTATGCAACTTTTATTTGTTCATTAATTTATTCATTCATCCATCCTTTCAATCATTCAACAAACATTTATGACTCTCTATTGTATTCTAGGCAATAAATTAGATCTGGAAGTAAAAAAGTCAAATAAGATGTGATTCCTTCAAAATGCTCATGGTCTACTGGGCATAACTCACTCTGAGATGTAGTTAATGGTGGTATGCCAGAGACTATTGGAGAAACCTGCACATGTGGCTGGAAGCTTTCCTGAAAATTTGCCATGGTACAATGAGTGCATCATTTATAAGCACATGAATTCAGAAAACTGTTGTTAGGAGAGCATGATGCTTCAAGGGTTAGACCATTCCTTTGCACTGGGAACAGAAGGGAGCACAAAAAAGAATTCCACTTTCTTACGTTAGCTCATGAGACTGTTTCTATGCTTGCTATTTTGTAGTATCTCCTATAAGAGAACAGAATCCCAAATGAAAAGCAAAGAATTCTAATTGGAGGTTCTCACCGTCAAGCTCCATGAATGAACGAGACACTTAAGAAAAATAGTGACAAGGCCAGGACTACAGGTCTTGAGTGTAGACAAACCTCTCAATCTGCCCCTCCAAAAACTGTGGGTGAGAGAGGGAGTATGGTGGTCTCCCTCCTTTGAAACAGCTCAATAGTTAAAGAAGAGAAACTTCACTCACATAGGTGCTAAGCAAACAGTGTGAGTGATTTCTAAGATT
The DNA here is from genome assembly GCF_000001405.40 of Homo sapiens. NCBI lineage: Eukaryota > Metazoa > Chordata > Mammalia > Primates > Hominidae > Homo > Homo sapiens. The sequence goes on from NC_000003.12 coordinate 133,021,430, forward strand.
AAGAGGTATTGCTTAATAATACTTCTGACTAATGCCTAACTCTACAATTGACTTTGGACTGTCAAAGAAAAGAGTTTATTCTCATATTTGCTCCAAATTTCCCTAAAAGAAGAATTCTAAAGCATTTGTTCTATGACTGATATTTCTACTTCTGTCCCCATATAAAATAACCAAGATAAGTTAACAAGCTGCCCTATGCCTGGGAATGAACAGCTTTTTGAGTCATTACTCCTTTTAGAATGGGATGAGGCCAGGCGTGGTGGCTCAAGCCTGTAATCCCAGCACTTTGGGAGGCCGAGGCAGGTGGATCACCTGAGGTCGGGAGTTCGAGACCAGCCTGACCAACACGGAAAAACCCCATCTTTACTAAAAATAAAAAATTAGCTGGGCATAGTGGCACATGCCTGTAATCCCAGCTACTCAGGAGGCTGAGGCAGGATAATGGCTTGAACCCAGGAGGTGGAGGTTGTGGTGAGCCGAGATCACACCACTGCACTCCAGCCTGGGTGACAGAGTGAGACTCTGTCTCAAAAAAAAAAAAAGAAAGTGATGAGAGCTATGACCTTCCTCTCCTGAAAAATGTCCATACACACAGTTTTCTACACAATCTTGGTGGATTCAGAGACCCATTAAGGTACATGAAACCTATCCATGTACCCTAGGAGAATCTGTGCTCCAGTAAATATTAAAAATGTAATTTGTTGTAAGAAATTATTTAGCTTTAGCTGAATCAATTAATTAGTTTCCAGAAATATTGGACAGCCGTTCTCAGACTAGAGGTTGGTGGAAAAGTTCCAAGGCAGTGGTTGATGTTAATAGCTATAGAAATGGGCACAATGGCAGTATATAACCCTGTGACAGTGTGAACATTATTCCTTCTGGTTAGGGTGGCCAGAAAAAATAAAGGATACCCAGAGAAATTTGAAATTCAGATGAACAACAAGTAAATTTTAGTATCATTATGTCCTATGCAATTTGTAGAAGTATATTTGGGATATATTGGCATTATTTGTTATTTGTCTAAAACTCAAATTTAGGGCTGGCATGGTGGCTCATGCCTATAATCTCAGCACTTTGGGAGGCCAAGATGGGACAATCGCTTGGGCCCAGGAGTTCAAGTACAGCCTGGGCAAACACAGCAAGATCCCATGTCTACAAAAATTTGAAAATTAGCGAGGTGTCGTGGTGCATACCTGTAGTCCCAGCTACTGGGAAGGCTGAGGTGGGAGAATCGCATAAGCCTAATGAGTTGAGGCTGCACTGAGCCATGATCACGCCACTGCCTTCCAGCCTAAGTGACAGAGTGAGACCCTGGCCCAGAACAAAATAAAAGTAGATGAAATTCAAATTTAACTGGGCATCCTGCATTTTGATTAGCTAAATCTGGCAACTGTACTCCCAGCCAATTCTACTTTAGCAGGATTCCCCACCTTTGACTTGTTATACTTCTGTTCTCTTTGTGATCCTTTTGACAAAGGTCTTTCTTCTCCTTTATCTCTAGATGTATCTTAGTTTGATCCAGCACAGATGAAGATCTAATAATAATTATTTATCATCACTGATTTTCAACATCACAGAAATAGTGAAATCCTGTGTGTCTGTATATGTACATGGATGTGAGAGAGAAAGGGCAAAGGAGAGAAGTCACTCAGAAGTTTAAAAATTATTATTTTGAGATAAACATGACTATTAGAAAATGAAGTCTGAACACCAGTGACTGCAGAGGAGGTAGTAGTACAACTAATACAAAATTTAAGTTAAAGTGACTCCTGAAAACAAAATAGAAAAAAAATCCTTGAGGTTTATAGAGCCACTAACTCCTTGCCAAAGAGAGTTAACTCTTTTTGAAAATCAGATGGTTTGGGAGAACTGCTAGTTGCTAATGCCATACACATTTCTTCTTTTTCTTTAAAAATTCTAAATGCTGATTTTGGTCAAGGCAGCAATGTTTCTGGCTGAAATACACATTTCCCATCATCTCTTGCAGCTAGAGCAGCCATCTGACAATCTCTGGCCAATGAGACATAAGTAGAAGATTGCTGAACATTTCTGGGTAACAGTTGCTTTCCTGATACAGGCGCTCCTTCTTGTTCCTGTCTAGAGTGCAGAAATAAGGCTGGGGGTGGAAGTGATCTTGAGATCATGAATCATCCATTAGCATGAAAGCCACATGCTAATAATGCAGATCAGGAAGGCAGAAGGAGTCTGAGACATGGACAGCTGTGCTGGGCACTGTGCTATGCTGCCTGATCCTTCTTCAGGAACCCACCACTAATCTCCACCACTGGGTCTGTTGATAGCTGGTGTCCCTCTGCTATGAGCCCTCTCTGAGAATTGCCCTCAGCTGAAGACAGACACCCTACTCCAGGTCATGCCCCTTCCTGGCAGGCAGCCCACATCCAGTGACTAGTTGATGAAGAGTATAGATGCCTGCCACCTTGGTCCAACACTGAAAGATTCTGAAGGACAAGCTTCACAGCTCCCTGCAGGTTTCACTGAGGTCTTGTGACCATACCACAGCCCAAATTCTTCCTCTTATACAATCCTGCTGCCTGCCCTTACCCTACAGGTTGTTGATCCCAGGTGATCTCCCCAGTAAACTTCATACATGCAGTTTCCATGACAAAGTCTGCTTTCTAGGGAAACTTGACTTGCAACGACAACCTTGCACAGCCACTATACCAGCCTACCTCCTGATTTCTTGCTACATGAGAAGATTAAAATAAATTTTAGATAAGCTACAGAGCTGGATTTCTCATATATCTAGTCCAAAGCAATGTCTGTATAATACAGAGGGGTATTTTATATCATGAACTGTGAGTTTAAAAGTCTGAATTAAGGATTGATTCACAAGACTTAACATGGGTTGCTGAGGGCAAATGTGATATAAGTGAAACTTTTAGGTTGACAAGGAAAATACTAATTCCCATCTGATTCCTGCTTTGGAATATGAAGATACAGAAAAACCATTCCCTAAAGCTGCAAGAAAGGGCAGGTCCTTGACATTTCTCACTGAAAGGGTAATGATGAAGTACAGTAAGACTTGGCTAGATTGAAACACAGATATTGGCTCTACCAAGGCTGGAAGCCCTCTTCAATGAATAGATGAAGGCGCATGAGAGTTGGTTGGCGTGACCCAGAGTAAGCAACTCCAGCACTGAGGATTTAATGTTCAAATGTTAATTTGTGTTGCTATTGTCAGACTCCTCAGACATCATTAGTTCTAGAACATCTTAATGACTAGAGATGTTGAATCAAGAGTACTTCATCATTGGTACCCTCCCAAAAAGTCAACCCCACAAAATGAAAAAGCAAATAAAAAAAAAACTTGAAATGAATCAAATGCAAATACGGAAACAAATAGTTTCCTTTTCTTCCCGGTGAATGGAAAAGGTGGTTAAGTACATCCTTGATTATCATAAAATTTGAAGAAAATGAATTCTAGGTGAAATTAATAGTGAATTCAGATCTCTTGAGACTACAGAACACCTGAAACTAGTACTCTGCCTAGTGTCTCAGATGCATCACACCTACGTTGTTTAAGGTGAAGTCCAGCAAATGTGAAATCAGGTAAATAATAAGGAAGTCCTGAAGGCTTAATCAATCTCCACCCATGACCATTGCATCATTACTGGTAGATTATTGCCTTCTTTTTCTGGGTTTTAAAATGAATACAATTGACTCTTCAAATAAGACAGTCATTGACATGAAAATGAGAAATGTGTACTTGTTCCGTATAGCTTTTGACTTCAATGATATTTCCCAAAGTAATTTAAATCTAATGACTTCTCAAACATTTGCTTGTCTTGAGACTAGGGCAATGACAGGAAAAGTACATCTGTCATATCATGAAAGTCCTAGAAAAAGTAGTAATTCAAGTTTTAATTTGTGTACCTGGAATTTTTAGCTATATTTTCTTTCACGTGTTTGCTTAATATAGACCTGCACTATATTGAAAATGGCCACATTTGGCACAGTGACTACAGTCCTTCAATTCATTATGGTTATATAATTAACAGTATAAGTCACATTATACTCAGGCCAATATATTGATCCAGAGACCTCCAAGGATCTTTCAAGGGCAGAGAGAAAGGAGATTGCTGAAAAGTTAGATATTTGTGGAATCTCTTAGGTCTAGTGTTCCAAAGCATGGGGCATCTTCCCTCCTTAGGATGCGTGACTTCCTTTTTTGCTTAGTAATAGAATCCAGATTTTATTAATACCAACAAGGTACTCTCTCCACAAAAAAACAAAAACAAAAACAAAAAAACTATACTTCTTGGTTTCCCTTGTACTCAGCAATGATCACGTGATGCAGTTCTAAGGAGGAGTTTGGGAGATTTTAGGATGGGGAATTGACCCTTTTAGCCAAGGGCTGTATCTGATTTGCAGATGTGTTTCGGTTGGCCCAAAGACTTAAAAAACAAACAAACAAACAAAAAAACTGGATAAATTCCCATAAAAAGTCCAGGTTTCTAGATTTCTGAAAAAATCATGAGATATGAGAGATTTTGCATTCTTACGTTGTAGCAACAAGCTGAAACTCACTAACAACACAGTTCCTGCTTCTTTGTATTGTCCTATTTTCTTTTCTTTTTTTTTTTTTAAGATGAAATTTTGCTCCTGTCGCCCATGCTGGAGCGCAGTAGCGTGATCTCAGCTCACTGCAACCTCTGCCTCCCGGGTTCACGCAATTCTCCTGCCTCAGCCTCCCCAGTAGCTGGGATTACAGGCATGTGCCACCACATTGGGCTAATTTTTGTATTTTTAGTAGAGACGGGGTTTCACCACGTTGGCCAGGCTGGTCTCGAACTCCTGACCTCAGGTGATCCGCCCACCTCAGCCTCCCAAAGTGCTGGGATTATGGGCGTGAGCCACCACTTCCAGCTTCTACGTATTGTCTTATCCTAGCCTGCTTCACTTTTTTGCTTCGCCTGCTTCACTCCATAAGCATTTGTATTGCAAACCCTACCTTAAACCATAATCTGTGTCTCTCTCACTCTTTTTTCGTTTACTGTATCATATGTCATGTTTTATCTGTCAGTGATTCAGCCCTGGATGACAGAAGGGTTCTCAAACTCACACAGTTATCAGGGCTGCATAAATTACCATTCCCAGAAGGCTCTCAAAGCTAGAGCACGTGTGAGTAAATGGATAGATTATTGTTCATTAACTTTAATTTTTTTTTGTTACTGGTGCTAAATTTGGATCACAGGTCATATTTCAAGGTGAGGTGGGCAACATGAAGTCTAAAGGTCTTATATTGCTCATCTGGTCTTGAGGGTTAGAACTGAGCCCAGTGTAGTGGCTCATGCCTGTAATCCCAGCACTTTGGGAAGCCAAGGTGGGAGGATTACTTGAGCCCAGGAGTTCGAGACCAGGCTTGGCGACATAGTGAGACCCTGTCTCTAAAAAAATAAAAAAATTAGCTGGGTATGGAGTCATGTACCTGTAGTCCTAGCTACTCAGGAAGCTAAGGCAGATCACTAGAGCCTAGGAGCTTGAGGCTGCAGTGAGCTATGATCACGTCACTGCACTCCAGGCTGGATGACAGAGCAAGACCCTATTTCAATTTTTTAAAAAAGGAAAAGGTCAGAACTGTGTTATGAGGCAAAACTCAAGGAGTGTTTACTACATTATTTTGTCAAAGGCAGCACTAGGGGGGCATGTAATGAGGAGATAGGTTGTCCTCACTTTTATGTTATAGGCTAATTCACTTTTTCATTCTAAGCAGTTTATCATTTTATCATTATCTACTTGACAAAATATATTTTCATTATCTTTATTTTCCTCATTCACATTGTTCTTGAAGATTATGAGTGCCACAAAGTATTCCCACTGAATAAAATAGTACTTGCTTCATAAACTTCCCTAAGTTGAGTTTTAAAGGATCCCACTACCCTAGCTGTGCATTCTAGGGTTTCAGAATTGGGCCATTAGTCTACCTGTAATGTTCATGATCTTAGAAAATTATATTGTCCCACTTCTTAACTTTTACCATCCTGAAATGAGAAAACCTACCACCTCCTTTTATTATAGGGTAGCCTCTGTCCAATGGAACTCTTACTTTCCATCAGCCTAGATGCCCTTCCCGGCACTTTTTCCAGGGCTGCTGTAGCTTTTTTGAATTTCAATAACCAGAGATACACACAGTTTTATTGCAGAAATCTTTATTTCTTTTGAATGATATTCAACATCTGGCTGACCATTTGAGCTGTGGTGCCATAGTGGAGTAGCATCCTGGAATGACTCCAGTCCCTCCTTTGGTCATAACCAATCATACAAAACAATTCCTTTTGTGCATAGATTTTTGATTATTTATTAATTTTTAATATTATTAGTTTGTCATTTAAACACTGTATCACTGACACAGTATAGTGATTCTAAAGTGCACTTCTCATGTAAAAGCATTAGCAGTATCTAGAAACTTGTTAAAAATGTACATTCTCAGCCCTCACCCCAGATCTACTTAATCAGAAACCCTATGGGTAGGGTCCAAGAATTTGGTTTTTGATGTAGGTGATTCTGGTACACACTCAAGTTTGAAACCCACTGACATAGTGTTTTGTAAATGAATAAGATGTAGTGACAGAAAAATTCATAGAAAGGAAAGTTTTTACTTAGAATTACAAAAAAAATGGAATGTAAAGGAATGGAACATCAAGAATATCTTATATTGCCTTTTGTTTGTTTGGATATATGGCTATTGATCCAATCACTGGCAATTTGTGCAAGGGGTCAGTTGCTCACATTTGAAATTATGCTATCTAGGTTTGATGCTCTAAGTAAAATTAGCAAGGGGAAAGAAATAAATGTGAGAATGGAGAAGTAATTTAATATGAGAAGAAATGTAAATATTTATACATGCATGTATTCGCAGAAAGAGGAAAGAGCCCCCAAAGGAAAAGAAATGTAACAGAATATTAATGATAGGCCCCATTAATAGGTAAGGATAATTCTCCAGTTCAAAGGGAAATCAGCAGAGATGCCAGCAGAAGTAGTGGGTGGCTTCTGAGAAACAGTGCTCTTATTCATTTAACAAGTGACTACTGAGCACCTACTCTGCACCAGACATTATTCTAAGGGCCAGGATACAATGATGGACAAGACAGAACTTAGTCTAGTGGAGGTCATAAACTGTTGAACAGCCAATGGCAATACAGTGTGATGGAAGCCACATTAGGGGAGGAGCAAGGTAGCCGTCGAAGCTCAGAGGAGAGATGCTGGATGCTGAACCGAGACTTGGGAGATGGGAATCTTGGTAATGGTCATTACCATGATTAGAGTAGAGAAATACTGTAGAAGAAAACTGGAAGAAATTAGTAAAGTACTTCTCTGGGGCTCATTTCTAATTATATCTCTGAGGTGGGAAGCATTAGTCTCAGTTTGGGTTTTTAATAGAAAATGTGTGTGTGATGAGGCCATACAACAGAGGGGAGTGATCTTGGGCTGTGGAAATCTGAATTCCTGGCAGAAGCACAGGACTGGGTCTAGATCCCACTTTGAAACTAAATTTCTAATCTTAGGATTAGCACAAGCAATCATAACACTGGGGAGAGAGATCTAGCTAAAAGAAAATATATTTTTTTTAATCTTTGAAACCAGAAAACCTGAATACTCTTTCTAATTTGGGGTTTTAATCGAACATGTGTGTGTGATGAGGCCATAATACAGAGGGGAGTGATCTTGGGCTATGGAAATCCAAATTCCTGGCAGAAGCACAGAACTGGGTCTAGATCCCGCTTTGAAACTAAATTTCTAATCTTAGGAAGCACGGGCAATCATAACACTGAGGAGAGGGATCTAGCTAAAAGAAAATACGTATTTTTTAAATCTTTGAAAACAGAAAACCTGAATGTTCTTTCTAATGCAATGGCTTTTGGTACTTTGAGATTCTCTTAGGATGAATTCTTAAGCATCAATAGCTATAAGAACATATTAGGGCCATGTTTTGGGACCCCTTGTTAGCAGAAACTTTCATCAGTGGGCCGTTATTGATATAGCTGGAGATGGCAGATGGAATTCCAACAGACAGAAAAGCACAAAAAAGAAAAAATAAAGGGGGAGGGGAAGACAGCTTGGATTTTATTTTAATTTTTTGGTTTTGGTATTTTTATTTATTTACTAAAAAATATTTTAAAGCAGGTAACAGTTATTGAATGTTATTATGTGTCAGGCTTTCGGTTTGTTTTAAACCTGTAACTTTAAGTGTAATTGGTCAGTAAATTCACAAGTGACAGTTAATGTCAAGAGAGATAAGAAGAAACAGAAAGAACGTGGCCACATACAATTTTTATCAGGTCCAGTCAAATATCCATTTCATTAAGTCAATTTAATTTCAAGTTTGGTAAAGTCATAGAGCCTGTAATGGAAGCTAAAAATCATTGGATATTTAAACAAAAATAATCTTTGAAATTTTTTTTCAGGCCCCTCGGAACCCCTTCATATGAATGGGGAACAGCTACACATTTGTGATACAAATCATTCATTTGAGCCAGCAGGTTCCCCATCTCTCACTTCTGATGGCTTGTCCATATGGATTTTGTTCAGCCTTGCAAAGTATCCTCAATCACTAAAGTAATTCTAACTAGTGCATCTTTGGGGATATCATAGAAAAGAAAGTCTCTATATCATCTTTTCAATATCTTAATTTGGGGCAAATAATTCAGCCTGTGAAACATGCCCTTTTCCATTCTTGAGCAAATCCTTTATCTCACCAAGATCAAAGTATTCCACTTATTCTTTGAGTGACTTCCTTCCTCTGGCATGTTAAAATTAATCTGTTTTATTGGTTTTGGAGACATTTGCAAGGTGCTTTAAAAGTTTTTTTGTAGTTATTATTCTCCTTCTTTATAATTGATTGGGTTTCTTTCTTCTCTTCACATGAACTACCGTTTTGCAGGGAAATGCCCTCTTTTCTCTGATAATTTATATGGCTCTAATAGTTCTCTTTTTAGTTCCTACCTCTAATGGTTGTTATTTTTATTCCTTGGTATATGCTTTTCGTGGAAAGCAAACAACAATAACAACAAGGTATTTAGGCTTTTCTTGTGGGTTATTGACTTTTTAAAGTTTTTTATTTCAAATGTCTCCTAAATAGAGACTATATTTATCATATTTCCCTTTAAAAAATCTAAAGTGTGTGCAATTTGTTTCATGGTTTTCCCCTGTCCCATGAGGATGTAGAATTTAATTACTGTATTAGTTGTTACTTAGTGGTTCACCCAACACAATCTCTTGGGTCCATTTCTGATCCTGTTTAGGATGAAAGTTCCCTCCATTCCTTTCCTTGTGGGATTTAGAAAGCAGTTCTCAGTTTATTGACATCTATTCCCATTGTCTCTCGCACCTCTCCTTCTGACTGAACAGTTGGCTGCTCTGTGTTTGGATAATTAAAGCCTTTCATTATTATTATCTGGACAAATTTTTTTTTTTTTGCTTTCCCAATTCCATTTAGAATTTTCTGTCATCATTCCTCTTGGGTAATCTATAATATACATTTTTTCTGCATGGAGAAGTTGTAACTTGAATTGTTTTAACATAAAAACGTTATTAAAAGTTATAACACAAATGGATCCTGTGAAGTTCATTCAACAGATACTTTTTGAGTGCTGGCTGTGTACCAGTTCTAGACCCTGGGAATAAGCAGGGATAAGAATAGAAGTTCATATGCTTATATTGTAAAGAGAGCAGGGTAGGGAGACAACAAAGAAATAATTCATCAGATGTTGATGAGAGGTAAGAAGAAAAAAGTAGGATAATAATTTAGAGCAGCCCTTTTCCACCAGTTCTACCAGAGAATTAAACTCTAATGCCCTAAGGCACACTTTGTATAGAATGAATTAACTTCTCTCCTATGCAAATAGAATGATACCAACTGTGTACTTTGGGAGACTAAAGAAAGCACTCTTTGAAACCATTTTCTACAGGGCTTAATTTTCTCAAGGAACCCTAAGTTGAGAAAGGCTTGAGTTAGAGAGTAACAGTTGTGGGAGGGAATGCTACTTTGGATCATTTGACCAGGGAAAGCCTCTCTGACAAGGAATCCTCAGAGCAGAGACCTAAATTTAGCAAGTGAGGGAGGGTCCTGAAGAAGCAACAGCTGCAAGGTGGTGGTGGTGAAGGACAAAGTATTACAGCCAGATACAAGAGTGAGTTTGGTATATCTGAGAAGTAGTTAAGAAGGCCAAGGTGGCCAGAGCTGTGTTATCATGGGGCAGAGAAGTGGGGATAAGATCAGAGAAGTGAATAGTGAGGGGTAGAAATTGTGTGGAAAACATACCAGAGACATTTCAACTCAAGCTAATTAAACAGATTGACTGGGCTCCAGCTATGGGTCATAGCTTGGGGAGTTTCAAAGTTGAATGAATCATGGTCTCTGTCCTCATGCATCTTACAATATAGAGTATACAACATAACTTAGACTAAGAAAATACAATGTGATAAATGCTACATCTTAATAATAAGCAAAGGGGTGACCATAAGCTGAGTTTTCCCAGGAGTAGACCCTGAGCCAAGTATTCAAGAATAGGTGATTTATAAAGAAATAACATCCAGGAGGACTCATAAGAGTCAAGTAGGGATGGGATATCAAGCAAGAGACAGCCTGGCCATGCAGGGAGCTCTGTAGTATAAATGACACCTTAGAGATTGTCACACTTTGAAGGAAAGAAGCTGGGTTTTTGCATGTACACCTGTTAATCATTGCTAATGGTGGTATACTCTCTTAGGCATGTTTGGTTCTTCATACAGGTGAAGTGGTGCCAGGTAGTTCTCTGAAGAACTCAGCCAAGGGAGCAGAGGCTCAGAAATGGGTGCACAGAGTCGTTAAAAGGGACCCAGGGAGATCTTGGTGGGGCATCAGTGGGCCACCAGAGAGCTCACAGAGCTTCTCAGCCTGAAGGGTGGTGCTTAAAGGATAGGCAGAGGATATTAAACTTTTCCTAGGTGAAAACCATGCCTATCTGCTTGATCCTGTAGCCTCAGCACCTAGTCTGGCTCATACTCACCATAGAGAATACTAGAAGCGTTTCTGAACGGGAATGAATGCATGCATGAAAGACATCCCAGGCCCAGCAATTAGTCATGATAATTACATCTTTGTAGAAATGCTAAGATCCTCTGCATAAGAATTGCAAGCTGATGAGAATAGAGTTCAGAAATTCAGGAGGCATAGCCATGAAATGGTATGTAACCGTGAATCTGAGCAAGTGAGAAGTAATGCATTTAAGGAACAAAAAGTCCAAACTACTTAGAGTATGATGTGTTTTATTTAAAAATTATACATAAGAAAATCAGTAAAAATAATCTCTAAGTTTCCAAGAAAATACTTAGGTATGTGAGCCGCTAGTTTTTTATGACTTGTTTTGGACTGAGAGAAACCTTTTATCATAAGAACTTGCTTAAATGTGAATAAGAATTGTCACACATGAGGGGCATTACGATGAGCTCTAAGTCAGAGTCATGTCAGGAACCATGATGGCAAGGAGGTTCTCCCTGGGTGCCCATTCTGATTGGTTGAAGAGGGATGCCAATAACAATGTGTTGATGAGTATGAAGCTACATTCAGGTTTAGGAGAATAATATTAATAATACCTATCATTTATTTAGCATTGCCTACATGCAAATACTTCTTTAGCACTTTGTATTATTTAATTAGCTCATTAACAACTATAAGACAGTGTAGTGGCTCATGCCTATAATCCCAACACTTCGGGAGGCCAAAGTGGGTGGACTGTTTGAGGCCAGGAGTTCAAGACCAGCCTGGCCAACATGGCAAAACCCCATCTCTACTAAAAAATTATAAAAATTAGCTGCGCATGGTGGCGCGCACATGTAATACAAGCTACTCGGGAGGCTGAGGCAGGAGAATCTCCTGAACCCAGAGAAGGAGGTTGCAATGAGCCGAGATAGCACCACTGTACTCCAGCCTGGGCAACAGAGTAAGACTCTGCCTCAAAAATAAACAAATGAAAACAACTAAAAGACACAAGTATAATAGTCCCCCTTTAACTGCGTTTTTGCTTTCCTTGGTTTCAGTTACCCTAGGTATAGCACAATGAGACATTTGGAGAAAAAGACCACATTCACATAACTTCTTATTTCTGTGTATTGTTACAATTGTTCTATCTTATTATTGTTGTTAATCTTTTGCTGTACCTAATATACAAATTAAACTTTATCACAGGTGTGTATGTGTAGGAAAAAAAAGTCATATACATATATAGGATTTGGTACTATCTGGGGTTTCAGGCATCCACTGGGGTTTGTAGAACCTACTCCCTGAAGATGAGGAGGGACCACTCTACTTGTATTGCCATTATTTCCATTTTACAGGTGAGATAACTTTGTGAATCGTTTATCCAGTATCTTCCAGGGGCCAAATTGTCTGGGTTTACACAGCTGGAGGAGCTGGGATTTCAACCCATACCATGTAGCCCTAGATTTTACTCATAATCACTATAACAGAGTTGAATACTATGATTGATTATCTGCCATATGTACAGGAGGAGGGAGGAATGGCATATCATGCATTTGCAATTTTTCAATTCTGGTCTTTGCCCCACCTTTCAATCATCATTTTTTCCCCTTCTCCTGTTAAACCCAGTTAAATAACACTACTTTCTCTTTCCCAATGCTCTATGCTCTTATGCTTTCATGTGGGCTGTTCCCTAGGCCCAGAACACCCTTTCTTTTGCCCTTTGCTGGCATCTTAGTCCATTCGGGCTGCTATAGCAAAGTGCCATAAGCTGGATGGTTTATAAACAACAGAAATTTATTTTCACAGGTCAAGAGGCTGGAGATCAGGGTACCAGCATGGACAAGTGCTGGTGAGGGACTTCTTCTGGATGACAGTCTGCTGACTTCTTATTGTATCCTCACATGGCAGAGAGCAGAAGCAAGTCTCTGGAGACTTTAAAAAGGGCATTAATCCTATTCATGAGGGCTCTACCGTTACAACCTCATCTAATCCTAATTACCTCCCAAAGGCCCCACCTCCCAACATCATCCACTGGGGATGGGAGGTTTCAACATATGAATTTTGGGGAGAAACAGTCCACAACACCTGGTTAACTCCTACAACTCCGGAATTCAGTTCACGTATAATTTCTTGCAGAAAGCTTTCCCTGATTTCATCAGTCAGAATTGGTACTCCATCTCTACGCGATCTTACAGTGTTATGCGCCTCGCTTGTAACATAAAAGTTTTTATTTTGAATTGTGGTAGCTTACCTCTCTTAAAATGAGCTAAAAGACAAGGCTCATGTAGTGTGTTGATTGAAAGAATGAAACCTGAATCCTTACCTCATCTCTGCTCCAAACTGTTGTTTTCTGAAGCTTACCTGCTTCCCACGTCCAGTTTGTAATTGTTAAGACACAGGTTTTGAACCACAGGTGATTTCCAGCTTTCTTAGCTTTTTCTTATATCAGTTTGGAATGTCCAAACATTTTATTCAGTAAGACTTTTGCCCATTTACACTTGTATTGCCTATTACATGCATGAGATAGGTGTTCCTTCCATAAACCATTATCTCTCCTTGGTGAATAAGCTTGCAAATTTTGAAATCTCCATTTAAAAAAAATCAGCTTGTTGGGAGGGGCACATGAGGTCTTCAACTGTATGTATAATGCTTGATTTCTTAAGTTGGGGGAGGTACAGAGAGGTATATATTATCTACACATATTTTAAGTCTAAATTGTTTTGTGAAAATATAAAAGCGAATATTAATATTCTTAACATTCGTTATAGAGAATATAAAGAAAACCAAGTTTTCTACAAAAATGCCTTGTGGTTGGGTTAAATCTGTACACAGTCACAGTAAAGGGATAAAAGTATCAGTTATTAAAACACAGATACATAGACACAAAATGTTATCCTGCCAGGATTTGTATGACAGATGGAGACTAGAACCTTGGGTAATCTATCGGTCTTCATGAATGAAATCAATTAAGTTTAGAGAAGCTATTTATTGTCAGAGAGATAAAAAGGTAATTAGCAATTATAAAGCAGTCTATGGGGGTTCTAATAATAATACAACAATGGGTGGATTTCTGGGACTTGGCAAAATGGTGGATGGCTTATATCTTATCTTTTTCTTTCTTTTCAAATATACCTAAATCTCTTGCTGGGCAATTTCTGGACTAAGGGGTAGGAAACCTGGTTTGAGCTAACTCATATCAAGTTACTAATATATCCATTTCCCAAGACAGGAAAACCAGGTTATATGTATGAGGCAAGTAGACTGAAAAACAGAGGATGAACGACAGCCTGGATTTTTTTTTTCAAATTCACATCCTCAAGCAAGAGTCTTTGTTTCTTGTTGCTTCTTTCTGTAATAATGACACCCACAAAGAGAAAAATAAATGCTTTTTTCCTAGTTAAAAATTTACATTACTCAGTTAAGTAGCAGTGAAAACTGTCCTTGTTTTACTCAATAGATAAAGCAAGTTTACAAGGTGAGAAAAATTTCTCCCCCATTTGAATGCTGTGAAATATATTTTTAAAAGTGTCACAGAAGGAGGGAAGCTAGTTTGCAGGCTCACACATTGGGCTTCCATATTTCTGGTGTCACAAATAAAGTCACTTTTGAGTAGGATGGCTGGTGTTGGTAGAATGTTCTGAGGGATCTCACTAATTTAGTTAAAATCTAAGTAGGTCATATTCCACTACATTGAATATCACACCATAAAAAAGTTGTACAATAGTTTTCCAAGGTGCAGGCACTAATCACTTTTAAAAAGTAACAGAATTTGGTAAAACGCCAGTAAAGAGAATTGGGAACCCTTGGAATCTTTGAAATAGACTCACCTAGGTGATGGGTTGCTAGGTGCAGCAAACCACTATGGCACACGTTTACCTTTGTAACAAACCTGCACATCCTGCACATGTACCCCGGAACTTAAAAAATAAAAAATAAATGCTCAAATGGAAATCTGTTTTAGTTAAGAAGGGCATAAAACAAGTAAAGCTATTACCAGAGAGTTTATCAGTTTGGCATGGTTAACAAAAGGCAATACGTTCTTTTAGAAATATTTAGTTAATCAATTGAAATTAAACCTAGTTGTGAACCTAGCTTTTCAATTTATTCCATTGACTAGTCTTTGGAGTATTTATTACCTATGAATTATTTTTGGCCTTTAAAAATCAGTTCTCAAAAATTATGTGGAAACTTTCTTCTGTTTTCAGAGTGTGTATGTCATTAGTGATTTGTGTTGCAGAGTTTAGTTTTCCCTGTTAAAAAATGCGTCTATCGATCTAGCAGCTTATGCAGGTGTTCTCAAGCATGGATGGATATCAAATTGCCAGTAGAACTTTTTAAACCTATAGCTGCCCAAGCCCCACTTCTCATCCCAATCAGAATCTCCAGGCACAGGGCCCCACAACCTACTTCCATAAATACTTACCATCCAGCTAGGCTTGAGAACCACTGGTTTAATGACAGCAAACAAACTTTTTTTGAGGCTTTCAAAACATTTTTCTTGCTTAGACATTTCTTTACTCCTGCTGTAGCCAGAACCATTGCTGTGACAGGTTTAACATGTTCCCAGAAACTCTGAATTTTGTGCGATGCCATCTCTGATAGGGACAATGTGATGAACAATGTCTGAGATTGCTAGGTGGGCTTCACTTCTGGGGATGAGAAGCCAGAGAAGTTCAGGACACACTGACAAAGGTGAAGTTTTCTCTAAGCGACAGTTTGATCACCTTGATAGTGAGAGAGAAATGCTGAAGCAGGGTTATACCACCTGGTTTCAAGAGATGAGAGATGAAGGTTTTGGAGAATTCAGCACTTAAGAATCTTGAACCACGGCGGTACACTACTGGGTAATAAGAGCTTGGCTACGCTGAACGACAAAGGTTCTAGCTGGCCAGTCCGAAAACACTGAGTCCTTAGGTCAAATTTGAGAAATGACAGGGCCAGTGGGAGTCCTAACTTCTAGACTCTGGAATTACTGACAGAAGAATATTTGGACAGTTTTTAAGACCCTCAAGGCATATTATTTTACAACCTCTTTAGCTTATGCCTGAATTTGTGCTGTGACTGTTAGCTTCCCGGATGTTTTCTCCACATGCTTCTTTCTGAACTAGCCTGTATAGTTCTACAACAAATTGTTACGTTTTGAGAAGCAGGGACCACTTATACCACTTCTCTGGCCAAGTGTCTGGCACCGCGCCACTCAGACACACACGCCCAACCCTTTAGGATTAACGTAGACACAGTGTTCTCTTCCATGGCCATTCCGTCTCCACTTCTGGTTCCACACTCCAGTCACCAAGTTGGCATGATTGCTGCTCCATAGACCAAGGGTGGGTAATGTGGGGATTAAACACACCTTCCCTCAGCTGGTGCCCAAACTGTAAGCATCACCGGGACACCCCATGTAGCCACAGGAACGCTTCTCATCAGTGGAAGAAGGACAAGAAAGGTCGTGCAAGTTTCAAATTACGTGGAGCTGGGGCTACAGCCATTACTTTCGGACAGGTGCAATTCAAAGCGTGATCCTCCGACCAAGAGCTTCGTCATCGCCACCTGGGAGCTTATTAGAAATGCAGGATCTCAGGTCTCCACCCCAGACCTTCTGGATCAGAATCCGCATTTTAACAAGAGAGTCAAGTGATTCTTATTTATATTAGAATTTGAGAAGTCAATTGATCTGGTAATTGATCAACTGAGTGCCACTTAGCCCCCGAAAACAGAGACCCTTTGTGCCCGCCTCGCACCCGCTCTGCTAGGTAGCAACCGAACCCCCAGAGACATCGGAGCGGGCGCTGCCGAGGGCAATTTGGTGATTGGCTGGTCTCACCACGTGACCGGCGCTGAGCCTTCCGTGCGACCGGATTGGCTGTCGCGGACGCTGACGGACAAGGCCGGGGCGGGCCAGAGCCTGGTCGGAGGGGCGCGCGCGGGGGCCCGAGGGGCGAAGGCGCGAGTGCGCGAGAGCGCGTGCGCGAGCGGTGGGGCTTTCTCCTGAGCCGTCGGAGGGAGCCGGAGCGCTTCTCCCGAGGTAAGCGGCGCTCCGGGGCGTCCCCCCAGTCCTTCCCATGCTGGGTCCCGGCAAGCGGGTTAGGCTGGGCTGGGCGGGGCTCGGGGAGGTGTGGGGTCAGCTTGCCCCGGGAGCCCAGCTTCAGGGAGGATGCAGCCCCGGTTGCCTTGGTTTCCCTTTTCCTATCCTCTCAGGCACCTTCCCATCCTCCCCACTGCGTGACGGGTCTGCCCGAGGGGAGTTGCCCACCTGGCAGCCCTGCCTCCGCCTTTGTTTCCCGCCTGGAGGGTTGCTGGCATGAACCCCCTCCCCAGGTGGAGGGTGCGGGTGATGGGGCGCGGGCGTCAGGAGCGCTGGACCTGGGCTGGGGCCGAGGAGGAGGTGGCTTTAATGCAGGGGGACCTGTCACATGGGGAAACGAAGAAGAAGAAATGTAGTGTCACTTTGGCCAGCCCGAGGGACTCGAACTAATCCTGCGGCCGCGAGCGGAGCCGAATTCCTAGCGCAGCTGTGCGAAGAGCCCTCCTGCCTAGGTGCCGGCGGCCTCGCCGGGGACGGAGCCTCCGTGCTGCCCGGGAGGTTGCTCTGCCGGCTGGACCTGGCGGTTTTCACCCCAGAGTTGCAGCGAAATTGAACGCTTTGAGCCTGCTGGAGGAATCCAGAGATTGGTTCAGGGGCTATTTTTTTTTTTAAGCAGTTGGGCACCGGTGGAGCCGGTCTAAATGAAAGTCTACAAAAACCAATTTCAGATGCAGCGTAACTGATGACTGGTAAATGGTGAGGAGGGAAATGCCTGCAGTGAACTGCAGACCACCACACTGAGATTCTTCCTTAAGAAGATAGGGGTTTTTTTCGGAGGAAAGGTTGTAGTTTCTGCAAACAGGTTTTTCTGGGGGTACCCAGGAAGGTTATTACTTATTTTCAGCATGTTACTGGGTTGTGGGGAGAGGGAAGGCAGGGTCTAAACTAAACCTACTCACACGTCCTTAATTCTTTGAAAAGTGTGTGCTCGATGAAGACCATTTGGCTGCCAAAAGAGGTTTGTATGGGAGTCCGGGGGAGATGGATTGTTGCCTTTAAATCATACTTTAAAAAGGGGAAGGTATGTCCAGGAACTTAAGAGCAGGTCAAGCTATGGAAAGTATTCCCTGCCTCTCCTCCATTTCCCCAGACAGCTCATAGGCAAACATAAAAAGTCCCTTCAATTTTCCACGGGTTAACTTCTTGATTTGTTGGATACACCTGGTAATCTACTCTGTAAGAAATGGTTCAACTAACTCATTATGAAGATATTACTGTGTTCTGGACTTTCCACGTAATTTATTCAGAACTCTTTCTGGTATGAGATGGATAAGGGTCTCTCTACCTTGTCCCTTGGAGACATCCTGATACCTTCAAAGCCCTTTATAGCTCTTACATTCCCTGTACAACAACATGTTTCTTTAGGAAATGACCTGATTTCAAACCTCTAAAACACACCCCATGCCTGTGAAATGCCTACACTTGCCAAGAATTCAGTTTACTAGGCAAGATAAATATATTTTTTTAAGAGGGAACACCTAAATTTGTTAGGGGTATCAAATTCAGGTTTATCAGCCACCGGAAATCAAATTTTGTCGGTTTTCTGAGATGAATGAAAGTAAAAGAACAAGTTGCTGCAAAGCTCATTTAGAATATCACAAATGACCCTAGTAAAGTGAAATATAGGTTGTCACCTGATAGACTTCACACAAACCAAATTAGTGGGAATAATTTAAAAACTTTATCACAGTTTTTTTTGTTTGTTTGTTTGTTTTTTTTTTTTTTTGAGACGGAGTCTCCGTCTGTCACCCAGGCTGGAGTGCAGTGGTGCGATCTCGGCTCACTGTAACCTCCGTCTCCTGGATTCAAACGATTCTCCTGCCTCAGCCTCCCGAGTAGCTGGGATTACAGGTGTGAGGCACCATGCCCGGCTAATTTTTGTATTTTTTAGTAAAGACGGGGTTTCACCAGATTGGCCAGGCTGGTCTTGAACTCCTGACCTCGTGATCCACCTGCCTCAGCCTCCCAAAGTGCTGGGATTACAGGCATGAGCCACCATGCCGGCCAGAAAATTTTTTTTTTTAAGTGGCATGGAGTAGAGGGGAGAAAAGAATGCTGAGGGTGAGGTAGGTGGCATAGTATACACTTTTATTTTCAGAGGAGAGAAATTAATCTTTGTTCCATAAACCGCAAAGGGTATGCATTGTTTGTTTGGCCTGCGGAAGGGAGGCAGGGATTTTGAAAAGGTTGGGAAACACTGATTAGGTTATGCAAGGGACAACAAAAAGATTAACAAGCTTAGTCCATCTAGCAACGTACTTCAGTGACCTATAGGACAAGGTTTTATTCTCTGATTCAATAAAAGCCCACTAGTGTTGCTTTCAAAGCAGCAACAAAATCATTTCCTTTCTGTCGTTTCTGTCCCCTGGGTCAGGGACGGGGAACATAGAGAGTGAATGAGAGAGATTAGAGTCCGACCTGCATGCCTAAGCAGTAGTGTCCTCTGAGGAGGATCTGTGTCACATTGTGTAAGTATAAGAGCCTTCATATTGAGAGGGATCTGAGTACCTTCCTTAGGACACATGCTGTAAGATACAGCTGGATAACAGAGCCACAGGTGGGGGCACTGGGTGAGATCATCTGATAGGGAAGCATTGGGGAAAGAGGAGAGCCAGGAAATGTTTAATTCAGTGGGGCTCTGCTGGCTGCTTTTGGATCCTTGAGGAGGCATTTCAAGGCAGAGCTGCCTCATTGGCTAGCCTGGCTGGCTTTATGTGGCTTCCAGAGGACCTGCCATTCACAAGATGAAAGCTCCTGTGGTAGTTACACGTCTCAGGTTGTAAGCATCAGTTATGCTTGTAATGTGCTTGAGAAAAGAAGGGCTCACAGAGACCTAAATCTAGGCTGCCGTTCCTTCACTTGGCTCATGTCACCCCCCAGGGCTCCCAGAAAACAAGTTGTACCCTCCTTACCAGTAGATGGCACTGCTGCCCCTGGGAATTCCTGGAGGAGCTGAACTATGGAGCTGGCAAACCAGCAGTGTGTAGCCTCTAGTCAGAAGATTTTGAAAGGCTATGTCAGCCCTCAAACGAAATCTCAAAGAAAATAGTTCTGAAAGCCATAACTGTTTACATAAGGTAGGAATAACGTGTGTCATGGGGATTGAGGAATGGCTGTGATTACATTGACTGTACATGTGCGTTTCTGAAGGGAGAAGGCAGAGAGTAAACTGACAAGCATCATAGCATAGGCTTTAAACGCACCCGGCATATGTATTGGTTAATTAAACATAATAATCATGATTTGATCCAACTTTCCAACAACTTAATCGTTTCTAATTATTTGCATGTGAAGCTAGTCTACACACATGGATGGGACTATGGAAATATACATGTGACTTTTAAACCTGAACAGTAGCTGGTAAGTACATGCTCTGAAGACAGCAGTGAGAGTATTAGTAAAAATAATGCTGATAAAGTAGTCACTATATTTCAGGGCTGTCCACAGAAGATAGGTCAAAACAATTCTTAATTCGTTTCTTCTAAAACTTGAAAATTCCTAATGTGTTTTTAGATCTTCTTAGTTAATGTGGACCTTTCAATATTATATTAGCAGCCCCAAACTTGTGCTTTGGTTTTAATGATGTTATTAGTCAGGGTTAATTCATCCATCCACCTATTTTGAAATAACTATTCTTTGTTCTCTAGCTGTTATTTACTGTTCTTTGAGATGGGAAGGTTATAGTGTATAATGAGGGCCCCGGCTTTGACTCTGCCTGAGGTATAGGATGCTACCTCTAGGTGCAATTACCCCAGTCACCTGCTGCTTTGTGTAGTTCCCATCCTATGGCTTAGGTTATTTGAGGTTTCTTTCTGTCTCTCAAGTGAACTGATGAGCTTGTCTTTACTACCAATGCTAAATACTAAAATCCTGCTTGTGCTAGGTAGTGGTAGGCCAACAGTCCATTAATGCCATCTTATTATGTGACTAAAAATAAATCTATTCACCTTTCTGAACCTTACTTTTATCACCTGAGATTGATGAGATGGTGGATGTCTCTTAAAATCTCTTCCAAGTCTAAAGTTATATGGTTAGGTGATTCTCATAAGTTATTTCTGAAGACTAAAAATTATTTATAAAATATTTTCATACTGTGAGCTTAGGGCAAAAAGAAGTCTTGCTAATGTTTCCTCCCAGAAAAGTGGTTGTGCATTACCTTAGGATCCTAACAGTTCAGAGTAGGAAGAAACTCTTGAAGATGATTTAACTTAACCTTCTCAATTTATAGACAGCTCAGTTCAGAGTTGAGTTTCTTGACCAAGGTAACAGAGCTAGTTAGTGGCAGAGAACTAGTTAGAGGACTAGGATGCAAGCTCAGGACTCAATATAGTTTTCCCTTCTCCAATGCTGCTTTATTTCATCTGCCATCAGGCCACAGAATATGCTGTGTCTACAGGGCTGGGGCCAAGAAAATTTTCTGAGTAATTCCTTAATGTAGGGCTTTAAAGCAACAGCATGAATAGCTTTGAGTTTTGGCAGAAGTTCAAGGTCAGGCTTCTCTTTGCAGCTCATTCTTTTCTTCACTGATTGATTGTGAGCAGGATTTTTCACTGCGCATCTTTAGGCTTTAAAAACTTTTCTGCATATGCTGTTTCCTGTAAGAAAAAACTTTCATCATCCTAGAAGAATCATTCCTCAATCAGATGTTCTTAAGTTGGGTCCATGGACTCCCCAACATCTCTCTGGATAGGAGAATCTTTCATATAATTCACTTCATTTGTAATCTTATGTATTTGATCTTATACATTTCACACATAATTCTGAGAAGGAGGTCCTTAGGCTTCAAGAGACTACAAAAGAGGTCTGTGGCACACACACACAAAATAGGGTAAGAATTCTGAGTTCTTGTCTGAGGAGCTAAAAGACATTAGGGTGGAAGAGTGTTAGGGGTAAGATATGGGGTAAACTTATTGAAGTTTGTAGGAACATTTTTACCTTTTAAAAAATTGCTCACTAAATGATGCTAATAGCATTTTACCCATCTTAAATTAATAATGTATATGCGAGTATTGATTTCCATTTATCATTCCTTCCTCAATAAGTACTCTTTCCTAATTTTACCAAAACACTTTCAAATTCATGTTGCTTTATTGGCGATGACATGCATACTAAGAGGCTCCCTTCTCCCCCAATCTGACTTGATTTCCAGATGTTCAGTTCCCTTCTAATTCATGACTTGGAGTTTTTGACTTCTGAGGTAGTACACCTCATGTTCAACTCTAGGCTCCTAGGACTCACCATGATCCCAGAGAGGCAAAATAATTTACATGCTAGGAATTAAAAAAAAATCCTTAGGTTCCTTTATTTGTACCCAGGGTTTACCACAGAAATTGCTGCTCCTCCTTGGCTAATTATTTTCCTTTTCTATTTGTAATCCCAAATTCTCACTTTTCCTAATTGTTTCCAAATAAGAGTGACTGGGAGTTTGTATGTATTGGAAATAAAAATCCTTGTTTAAAACATGCAAAATTTTTGAATTTTGAAGAACATTTGCTTGAAAATCTCTTGCTTTGTGTCCTGTGACACCTTGCCTACTTTTGGTGCCATGGTGACCCATGTTGGTGAATTCACCTGCTGGCATCTTTTTGGCTATGTATCTTTTTGGCCAAAGTAATATTTATTATTGCTTTAGTAGAAGAATAGAAATTACCTTTTCTTCTTTAGAAGGTTATATTTGGGTTTATGTAATAACCTAATTATGTTATGTAATGTCAATTTTCTGCATTCTAATCTCAGTATATTGCTGAGTTATTTTGAGATTTTGGGGGCATGATTGATTTCTCTGAGCTTGTTTCCTTGTTTGGAAAATAAGGGGAGAGAGTAGGAGAGTCGTGACTACTTTGTTTCCTGTTCCAAAATCCTGTGACTCTAAGAAATTGTACCTGGTACCCAGACTAAACATATCCTAAAAAATGCTGCCTAATTGGGAATTTATTTATAATCAATTAGTGCCAGGATAATAATTCTTTATATCTGCAAATCATTTTATGGTTTTCAAAAATGTTCTCTAATCCTGTATCTATTTTCTACTCAAAATGCCAAAGGACAACAGCATCAGTATTATGTGGGAGCTGGTTAGAAATGCAGAATCTCTGGCTTCACCCATGACCTAACAAACCCGAACCTGCATTTTTATCAAGATGCCTTGAGGATGCACATGCACCTTAAAGTCCAAGAAGTTGGTGGCTCGTGCCTTTGAGAAGAAGCTGGTGCTTTGAGAGGCTGAGGCAGGAGAATTGCTTGAGGCCAGGAGTCTGAGACCACCCTGGATAACATAGTGAGACTCCATCACTATATACATTTAAGAAAAAATTAGCTGGGCCTGGTGGCACATTTCTGTAGCCCTAACTACCCAGGAGGCTGAGGTGCGAGGATCACTTGAGCTGAGGAGTTTTAGGCTGCAGTGAGCTGTGATCACACAGTACATAGTGAGACCCTGTCTCTTAAAAAAATTCTGAAGTGCTGCTTTTTTTTTTTTTCTTTTTTTTTTGAGACGGAGTCTCATTCTGTTGCCCAGGCTGGAGTGCAGTGGCGTGATCTCAGCTCACTGCAAGCTCCGCCTTCTGGGTTCACGCCATTCTCCTGCCTCAGCCTCCCGAGTAGCTGGGACTACAGGCACCCGCCACCATGCCCGGCTAATTTTTTGTATTTTTTAATAGAGACGGGGTTTCACCATGTTAGCCAGGCTGGTCTTGATCGCCTGATCTTGTGATCCGCCCACCTCAACCTCCCAAAGTGCTGGGATTACAGGCGTGAGCCACCGCACCTGGTCCTTTTGAGTCTTACATTGGCCCTATGAGAGAGGAACAGTATTTTACAGTTGAGGAAACTGAGACTCAGAGTAGTTAAGTAACTAAGTCAAGGTTACTGTGCTAGTGTCTCACTCAGAACCCTCTACTCTAAACTTAATGCTGTCTTTCTTCATGATTGGGCTGAAGTCACTTTTGTACAATGGAGTCTGGTCACTGCCCTGCAGCCCATAAGGTTAAGTGTGACTGTGTAATTGAGTTTTAGCCAACCAACAGAATGTGATGGAAGTGGAAAAGTATTGTGATCCACTTCTAGGAAAAAAAGCACAGAGAATGCTCATGCAAGCTTCTTCATACTGTTTTCCATTCTTAGCTGACTGGAATGGAGAGGACCCATAGGGCAACCTTGGAAATTATGTTTTAAACATGGCAGGACTTTTGTCAGCGTGGGTACCTGGATCACTGCATTAGGTCCACCCCACCTACATATTCACCTGTCCAGTATGCATACATGAATCAGAAATAAATTTTTATTGAACTTGAGCTATTATACATGTTTGGGTAAGCACTTAGTCTACTCTCATATTCACTTCAGCAGTGACTTGGGACTTGAAGTTCCTTTGGCCTAATGCATTTTTTCATTTTCATCTTTGCCAGTTGGTGATAGATTGGTGGTCATCCAACATGCAGAAATGAATGAGCAGTGAAAAGCAGCAGAGCCGATGGGTCATGAGGATGTAAGTGCGTTTGAAGGCTTCCACACCCTCTACTCCAGGGTAAGGCAAAGGCATTCTCTGCCATTGTTTTTCTTGCTTTTCCAATTCATAGAGGCTATTGTCTCACCTGTCTCTTGGAGTCAGTGCAATATGATGCCCTGTCTGTGAAAGGCTCCTAAAAGCCTTTATTGATTCAACTCATAGATACCATGCAAATCAGCAGTTATGAAGAGAAAACCATGACCGAGGTGATGGGATGGAATCTATGCATGGAAATATTTCAAAACAGGAGTTTTTAGTGAGTTCGTTTAGGGTGTGATTTATATGGGAGGGGCTGTTGAGCCCTCTTGAGGTGCACTGTAAAGATGGGAACAGGGCCTGATTATCATTTCCTTATAGCCATGTCATATGTTAGCTCTGGTAGCTCCTGTTTCCCTCACCTACCACCTTCTTTCTTCTTTGATTACTCTGCTTAACTTTTGCTTCATTAATCACTTTTTTAGTGAAGGAAATAACTTCTCAAAGTGTTGAAAATTCCAGATTTGGTGTATAATAGCACTAGCAAAGTACATGGTTTTGCCTGTTCCATTTTATTTTATCCAGCATCACTGGAAGTCACATGCCCATTCATGCCTCATCTATTTGCAGCCCCTAGTACAATGCATGTGGGCACTGGCAATGTTATAACCAAAACTGGTTTTGAATTTTCACTTGTGCTGCAGATTTTTGAGACCAGAAGGAGAAATTAACTGTTTGGTGTGGAAAGGACATCACATCCTTTCTGAGCTCTCCAATTTCTAGAGCTTAAACTAAAACCAGCCTCCTTGAAGGGAAAATTATGATTCATATAAATATAAGAAAAGCTGAGGATGGTTAAGAATGAGGGATAGGAGGTTAAAGAAACATACTTAACTGAAGGGTTGTTTTAAGCAGCTTGGCTCAATACTGCTGAACCTTTGCTAGATAATGTCCCATTATCCAGGCTCAGACAGAGGGCACCCAGAAAAGGCTGGTATCTTTCGGGGCCTCATGTGGCTCAGTAATGAGTACAATTTACTGAACAAAATAGACAATTAGAGGATGGAGATCTCTGGAGATTCCAATAAATGTACATCATTATTGCTCTAAAGTGATGCACATGCTTGGAGATAAAGCAAAGAAAGGGCAGCTGCAAAGTACGTCAGCAGAAGAGTCCAGGTGAGCAGCCCGATGCAGACTATAGCTCAGCACCTGGAGGTAGCTAAGAAAAGGAGCTGGTCTTTTCTAGATTTTCTCATTAAAAGAAAGGAGCTGGTCTTTGCTAACTTTGCTCAATTTCCTCTATATCCTGTATATCCTGTATTTTAAAAGTATATCCTGTATATCCTCTATTTTAAAAGTAACTAAAAAGTATAGCATGTCAGAAATAGCACTTGGCTGGTATGTTGCTGTGTAAATACTATACAAGGACTACATTGTGGAGGGAGCCATTCTTTAATTATTGATTTGGGGTCAAATAAAGTAATGCTAGAGATGCCAGTGGACCAGAGTTAGTTTCTCAACCTTACACTATTTATTGACACTTTGAGCCAGGCAATTCTTGTGTGGAGTGTCCTGTGCATTGTAGGATGTTCAGCAGTGTCTTTGACCTCCACCCACGAAATGCCAGTATCTCCCTCCCTGTTTGTGACAATCAGAAATGTCTCCAGACATTGCCAAATGTCCCCTGGAGAGCAGAATTGCCCCTGGTTGAGAAACACTGCTGAAGGGATATAGTGATTCAATCTTGCTCTGAATTTCTCTGGTATCGTATTTTAATCATTTAACTTCATTTTGTTTCACTTTCCCTATCTGTAAAATATACACACATAAATAGCTAAATAGTCTAATGAAGTAATGTACATAGTACTGTGTGACTCCTTGGGGGCTCTGTCATTTCTAAGAAGCGATATTCGTCTTCCCAAATTTCTAGGACCCAAGGGTAATTCTTAATTCTTGTGATGGCACTAACTGAGGAACAGTGGAGTTTGAAGAAGGGCGAAGGTCTGTGGTATGGGAAATAATGAAGAATGCTGGACTCTTGAGTTTATTCAAGGGCTTCATGTTCTGGTTCATTGTGATAATATATTCTGGATGAAAACTTTCCTTTGCAAAGTTAAAAAAAAGGGAAGAGTGGATGAGGCAGAAAGAAGGCTGTTCAAAAGAGCAGTCAAGGAAATTGCATTTGACAAGGTGATCTGCTAATGTTAAAGTGACTCATGTATAATTAGACCAAAGGACATAAAGAAATAGCCTCCAAAGGAAAACTATCGTCCCAAATGACTGCTAGTCCAGATCAGTTTTTGCAGACAATACAGTAAAGACCAGAGAATGTTTGGAGATCAGTGTTTATTCTAGAAACTTTTACATTTCTATTTCTTCTCTTCTTTAGGAATATGGAAAGGGATTATCTTTAATATATGCCCTTTGAATTATAAATGTAAATGTTTTAATATGACATGTTCTTTTGACAGTTTTCTAGTACTATGTGTTGGAATGGTCAAAGAGGCCATAACTCTGACCTAGACCTGAAGTGTAACCTGCATTATTTTAATTAAAAGGCTCAGTTTAACTCTAAAACAAGGCCAGTGCAGGGATTAGATGTAAACTGTCCTGGCAGGTTTGCATTCCCCCTTGCTGTGTTTCTGGTCCCTGTGATTATTAGACTTGCTTACAAAGTTTCCAACAAATGCACTGTATTTTGGATCTACTATGTAGAGAAGCCATCATGTATAGCCTTGTTTATTTGCATTCTTCATACATTTTTAGCCCTAGGTGTTAAGCAAAACTTATAAGAATGTTTAAGAAGGATTCCATGTACCTTGAAGAAAGAGGCACTTTGGTGTGGAAGAGAGGTGAAAAGTGAAAGAAGCTCCACTTTGTTAGGAGTAGGCTGGTGTTTGAATGTTGAAGTTTTTGTTCTAGTACTACTCAAAGTGTGGCCTCTGAACCAGCAGCATGAGAATCATTTATACTTGTTAGAAATGTACAAACCTATTAAATCAAAATTTCTGGGAGTGGGCGTAATAATCTGTGTTTTAACAAGACTCCCAGTGATCCTGATGGATGCTAAAATTTGAGAAGCATTGCTTTGTTAGTGGTTTCTGACGTAGTTACTTCTTACAAATGATGTCTGTGTGTGTTTATGATGGGGAGGGCGCAGATAAAGTATTTTTCCAGGTGGTCAGAACATATATAAGCTTTTCTTGTGATAACCTCTTGGATAATTTTCTCAAATGATGCCTTAAGCCTTTTCCTGCATTGTCTAATACAGTAGCCACTAGCCACATGTGGCTTTTTCTTATTTAAATTAATTAAAATTAAATTGAAATTCAGTTCTTCATTGCACTAGCCACATTTCAAGTGCTCTGTACCCACTTGTGGTTAGTGGCTACCATATTGGACATTGCAGATAGGGAGTATGTCCATCATCAGAGAAATCTGTTAGACAGCACTGTTTTAGCCTGTGAAGACCCCTGTTTGTCAGAAACTTACATTTAGAATGATAGTATGCTCTTGTTATAACAAGACCTCAACTCATTTAAAACAGAATTGAGTTTTGGGCTTCTCCATCCTGGGGAAACTTTTCAGTCTGTGACTCTATCTTGCTGAACTTTTTACCTTGCTCTGGTATCTGTCTGCTACAGAAAGTGCCATGGGTACATCTCTGACATAATCAAATCCGCAGCCTCTGAAACATTTGCCCTTTAATCCAAGGCTGCTGAGCTGTCTTTTTCCATTTGGTCTCTCTATGCCCTGACCCTTCGTGGTGAGGCTTGTTTGTGCAAGGTGTCTCTTTTGATACTGCCTAGAGCTTTACAAAGAGTCTGGAAGAGGTGGCAAGAAAATTTTCACCTCCCCTACTTCCAATTTCCAGCTTGGCTCAAAAAAAGTGTTTCATAAGAGGGTATTAATACTCAGACTTCACCGCTGAGGAATTATCCCCTGAAGAATTAGTCTCTAAAGCAAGTTTTCCAACAGACATATTACAGCACAGATTTAGTAATTAAGCCCTTTGGCAACATGGAAGAATTTTCAGTTGATATTATGTATTAATATTACCAATATTAGTTGCTCAGAAATTATAATTAGAACAAATGAAAAGATGTGGAAATATAGACACACAATTTTTCAAAGATATAAAGTTTCCTGAGCCCAAGATTCTTGTGCATAGGAGAGGGAATAGGAATAAGGAGTTTGTGGCAATTAGTAGTATTGCTGGAGTTGAGGGGAAGGAGGTGGATAGAACCTGGACTTGATCCCTGAATAGTCTTAACCCTGCTGTTTTTCTTTTGATGGATGCATTGCTTGTTCTCTTCCTGCCTTTCTTTCTTTCTCTCTTTAAAAATAGTTTATTCACTCATTTGTTTATTTGAACAGTTTTAAGTTCAAGCAAAATTGAGAGGAAGATACAGATTTCCCATATACCTCCTACTCCTCCTACTCCCTATACATGCATGGCCTCCCCCAATGTCAGCATCACCCACCAGAATGGCACATTTGTTAGAACTGATGAACCTACATTGACACATCATAATCACCCAAAGTTTATAGTTCACATTAGGGTATATTCTTGGTGTTGTACATTCTTTGGTTTTAGACCAATGTATAATCACATGTATCCATCATTATAGTCTATAGGTATTTTCACTGCCCTAAAAATCCTTCATGCTCTGCCTTTTCATATCTCCCACCCCTTTGCCCTTCACTAAACCCCAGAAACCACTGATTTTTTTTTTTTTACTATCTCCATAGTTTTGCCTTCTCTAGAATATCATGTAATATGTAGCCTTTTCAGATTGGCTTATTTTACTCAATAATCAACATGTAAGTTTCCTCTATGTCTTTCATGGTTTGATAGCTCATTTCCTTTTAGCACTGAATAATATTCCATTATCTGGGTATACCACAGTTTGTCCATTCACCTACTGAAGGACATCTTGGTTGCTTCCATGTTTTGGCAATCATGAATAAAGCTGATATAAAAATCTGTGTGCGAGTTTTTTTTTTTTTTGTGGACATAAATTTTTAACTCCTTTGGGAACATTCCAAGGACCATGATTGCTGCCTCATATGGTGAGAGTATGTTTTATTTAGTAAGAAACTGCCAAACTGTCTTTCAAAATGACTAACATTTTGCATTCTCACCAGCAATGAATGAGAGTTCTTGTTGCACCACATCCTTGCAAGCATTTGGTATTGTCAGCGTTTCAGATTTTGGCCATTCTAATAAATGTGTAATGATAGCTCAGTGTTGTGTTGTTTTAATTTGCATTTCCCTGATAACAAATGATGTAGAACATCTTTTGATATGCATACTTGCCATCTGTATGTCTTCTTTGATGAGATATCTGTTAAGGTCTTTGGACTATTTTTTACTCAGGTTGTTTTCTTACTGTCGACTTTTAAGTTTTTTATAGATTTTGGATAATGGTCCTTTGTCAAATATGTCTTTTGAAAATATTTTTTCCCAATCTGTGGATTGTCTTCTTATTCTCTTGACCTGATGTTTCAGAGAACAGACATTTTGAATTATAAAGAAGCCCAGCTTATAAGTTCTTTCTTTCATGGATCATGCCTTTTGTGTTGTATCTAAAAAGTCATTGCCATACCCAAGATCATTTAGGTTTTTTCCTGTGTTATCTTCTATGAGTTTTATAGTTTTGTCCTTTACATTTAGGCCTGTGATCCATTTTGAGTTAATTTTTGTAAAGAGTGTAAGGTCTGTGTCTAGATTAATATATTTTGCATTGGATGTCCAATTTTACCAGCATCATTTGTTGCTTTGTTGTACTGCCTTTACTCCTTTGGCAAAGATCAGCTGACTATCTGGATGTAGGTATATTTCTAGGCTCTCTATTCTGTTCTATTGGTCTATAGGTCTGTTATTTTATCAATACCATACTGTCTTGATTATGGCACTTTATAGTAGGTCTTGAGGTCAGGTAGTGTCAGTCTTTCAACTCAGTTCTGCTTTAATATTGTGTTGGCTATTCTGCGTGTTTTGCCTCTCCATATACACATTAGAACCAATTTGTTGGTAGCCACAAAATAACTTGCTGGGATTTTGATTGGGATTTTGTTGATTCTACAGATCGAATTGAGAAGAACTGATATCTTGACAATATTGAGTCTATAATGATCATGGAATATCTATTTAGTCTTTCTTTGAGTTCTTTCACCAGAGTTTTGTAGTTTTCCTCATATAGATCTTGTACACATTTTGTTAGATTTATACCTAAGTATTTCATTTTTGGAGATACTAATATAAATGGTATTGTGTTTTTTATTTCAAATTTCATTTGTTTATTGCTGATATGTAGGAAAACAGTTGACCTTTGTATATTATTCTAGTATCCTGCAACCTTGTTATAATTGCTTTACTAGTTCCAGAGGTTTTTTGTTGATTCCTTCAGATTTTCTACCCAGGTGATCATATTATATCATCTGAACAAAGATACTTTTATTTCTTCCTTCCCAATCTGTATTCCTTTTATTTTAATTTAATTTAATTTTATTTTATTGTTCTATTGCATTACCCAGGACTTCTAGTACAATGTTTGAAAAAAAAAAAAAAAAGTAGTGACAGTGCACTTCCCTGCTTTGTTCCTGATCTCAATAGGAAAACTTCTAGTTTCTAGTTTCTCACCATTTAATATGATGTTAGCTATAGATTTTTAAAATGTTCTTTTCCTTTTGGTTTGCCTTTCTTACCCATTTTTTTCTGCCCTAAATGTTGGAGGGGGCTCAGTTTTCTCAAGGGGGGTGCTATTAGCATTTTGATGGAATGAATCATTGTTATGTAGAATTTTCCTGTCTGTTATAGGATGTTTGGGCTCTCTGGTCACAAAATGCCCATATTATTCTAACCAAGTCATTGTGTCAATCAAGATGTCCCCCTACATTTCCAAATACCCTCTGATTGAGAATCACTGACTGCTAGAAAGAGATGAGTTTGATGGGTTTTCTGTTTGTTTCTTTTTTGATGGGGAGAGGGAGGAGTAATTAGAGTCAGGGAAGATGCAGGTGCTCTGAGTGTCTGGTTCATTAATTTCTAATATCACCTAATCTTTCCCCGGTGCTGGCAGTGCTGTTGGTAGCCAATATTATTCTATTGGGATCAGGAGAATCAGGGTCTCCTACTGCAAGACTTGCTTTCAGAGGCTTGATACCAACCCAGAAACCACAGGGGGTTGTCTGTGCCACAGAGAGTAGAGGAACTACTGAGGCTCCCACAAGATGCTGCATTTTTATTTTGATTCACTGCAGCTAAATCTCCTACATCTACTTGAAAGTAGACTCTTGTCTACATGACAGTGATCTACTGAGGGAAAAATCAATAAGAGAAATTTACAGACAATCCAAGGGAGAAAGGCTTTGCCAGCCATTTACTTTTTTTCTCTGTGATTGCACATATTGGCAAAGTAGCCCCTAAATTTGTGAGGTTATGTGTAGACTATTGAGAGGTCTGAGAATTGTTCTACAATTAGCAAAGAAAAGGAGAACACTTTTAGACATCTTGCCAAGGGGCCTACATAGCCTATTTTGATTACAAGAGTGGAAACTCAAGTTACTTTAAAAAATGGAAGGCTTAACTAAAGATGCACGAGAAAATAAGGAAAACAGAATTTCAGTCATGTGGCAAGTCTGCAAAGAATCTCAGGGGTTTTTAGGATGAGAGAATAGTCTGGCTGGACCTCATGGAGTCAGGACTTAGGAGCAGGAAGATTGTTCTGATCTTTTGTAACTCCAGGGTGTGTCTGCACTAACAGTGTTGGTCAGTCCATATTCTACTTTTAGATCATTAATGTGGTTCAGCATTTCCATTTTAGATTCTCTCTTGTTCCTCATGTTCTTGCTTCCATTTATCGTTCCCACAACCTAACCAATGATCTGTGTATAGACCAAACTCCAAAAGAAGAAAAGGAGTATGATAGGTTTTGTAGTAACTATCATCCTGATGGTTAAACTTTATACCATGCAATTTTAGAGCTGCTGATGCTCTCTCCTGGTCCAAACAGCTGTGATTTAAGGGTATTTGCTTTAGTAAGGGCTATGGGCCTGGCAATTTCTCTAGAAGAAGGTAATGGTGGGGTAGGCTGAGACCCCACTGGGGTAGAGCAGTGCTGGGGTAGAACATGAGACCTCAGTCTAGTTTAATTACCCTGAATTCTTAACTCTTGGAATCAATATAAATAGTATTTGTGGGTTATATAGACAACAAAGAACTGGAAGATTATTCAGAAAGGATACATGTTTAGTAGCAATTGTGAAAAAGCATGAATCTGTTTTTTTGAGAAGTCTGATTCTATCCCAGTGCTGAGTGGTAGGGAAATTGCTGGGCTGGATGATTGGGAAATGGGGAATTGTATTTCCCATACAGATATCTTATTTTTTATATCTGTCAAATTTGATTCTTATGGCCACCTGTGTGTTGCACAGGAATAATGGCTAGGTGACTTTCTAAATGTTGAAAGACATTTTGACATCTTCGACAAGTGTTGTTCAACAGCTGGGTTTGTAAGACTCCAGTTGTGATAAAGGAAAATAACTTGGCTTATTACTGTAAAAATAAGTTCCATACAAATGTTGACATTTGGTGGATTACTACCTCACATAGTGTGTTTTGTTCACTTTCTCCCTGAACTTGGAGCATTAGTTTCATTTGAGCCAGTGATTGAGTGTGACTTTATAAGGGAATGCATTCTAATACTGCAGAAGGCTCTGTCTTTATTTATGACTCTGTGTCAGGGTAAGAATGATGGTCCTGGCTCTATTTGGACCTGCACAGCTGTGAGTGGAGTGACCCATGGCAGCACAAACAGCCCGTCATTTCAATGAATTATTTAAGGCTCTTACACTTCCCTTCAAGTAGCTGGATCATGGTGGCACCACATACAGAGAACAAGTTAGTGTTTCCTTAGAGAAATGCAGCTTTTGTTGAAAGAGAGTCTGAAGAGAAGAGATTCAGCAGGGCTTCTTCAACTGCTGGTTGAGGAAAGAATGTAGTTTGTTACTGAAGGGTGATGGAGATTGGGATCAACTTTCTCAACCCAGCTGCTGACTGCTGAGGTGAAAACAGCAGAGATAAAACATTTGCTCCAGTTTCTCTTCAGACTCTGTGAAGATCCCCATCCCCTGTATTGAATTTTTAAAAATAAAAAGCAAAAAATATAGAATTGTATCTAATTGGTCTTAACATATATCCATGTTTCTTCTGAACAGGAAGATTTGTATGTAGATAACCACACGTTGCCAGAAGATTAAAATCTTCAATTTTAACTTTAAAGAAGCATTAATCTTACAGTATAAGTGAAAGATTAACTCAAATTTGTGCATATATAATTTTTCTACAAAAACAAAACAAAATTATGTTTGTTCTCATAGAATCAGGAATTAATTTGAAGCCCTTGTTGAAGATTCTTTAGCAACAATAAAGACATCTGCTCTCTCCAGGGTATAGAGAGATTCTGAAAGATGGCCAAGAGCCAGGGATCCTGAATCCTTTATTCCCATCCTGCCATAGGCTACTCCCCATGAGGTTCCTGCAGGATAAATGTGCACGGGGGGTGGTGGAGGCAGGACTTTGGATGCAGATCCCTGAGGGCCTAGGACTGAAACCCCCAGCCCTGAACTGCCCTATTCTTCCTATGAACCACAGAAAGAGGCAGCTCCTCTCAGCCTTTTTCTTTCCATGCCCACTGTTGAATCTTTGCCTTCACTTTTCAAACAAGCAAAGCTGTGGCTGATGCCATGTCCTCAAACATGACCCATTCCTATCAGCACACCCCTTTAGAGGGCCCATCACAGACAAGGAAGAAGGCAGACAGGGAGGAATATGCTTCCCTGACTATCAAAAGCTGTTTCTTTTCCACTGGAAAGAACTTACTGGATCACTTCTGAAATTAATTATTGTCATTAGAACAGTATTTACCAGGCATTAAATGTTAGACATTATTTAGAGACTCTCAACTTAGAAAATCATATTTTTACTTTGAGAGAGCAAAATCCCATATTAATACAGTCCTGGATTTTAACTTTTGGTTTCCTCTGGTGTTTCTCCACATACCCCTCCATTTTTTCCTTCCATTAACCCTGTTACCTTAAGTTCTTTAGTCTCTTTGCCTCAATTCTTATATCTTTATTTTATTTCCAGAGTTCTATGGTTCCCACCTGGCTGCAGGACAAGGTGCTTTATAAGTTGGCATAAAGACACAGGCTGATTCCAACTTCTCTTTCTGAATTTCTTTCTACTCTTTCTATGCGCAAACATCTTTTACCCAAACTGGTCCTTGGTCCCGTTCTCTCCTCCCTGTGTACAGTGCTCCTGTTTCTTTTCAGTGACCGCTTGGTAGCATTGATAGACTTTGAGTCCTGTGGCCAGATAGATCTGCATTTCTATCCTGTCCCTATCATTTTTTAGAAATGTGACTTTGGGCAGAATATTTCATTTCAGCCTCAATGTTTTTATTTTTAGAATGGGAATCATAACTACCTTATGGGATGCTTATGGGCATGGTACTTAGGGAACTGTCCTGCCCAGGTTCTATTTTCTGCCTTTTCATCCCAACAGTATGCATACGTGCTTGCTGATGAAGTTATTGAACATCAGAATTCCAGAGCTGGTCTACATCACAGTTCGTGGTTAGCCATTCTCTACCTGCCACTTTCACACCTTCCCTAACCACATCTTCCTTTGATAGGACCTAATCCTATCAGTGAGCATCTAAAGATACATTTTCCTCCTTCTACCTATGATCGTGAAAACTATGTTCATGGACATTCAGAATGTCCTGGTATATCTGCCCATATCAGAAATTGACAGCAATTTCATGGCCACTGTCTGCAACCTTGAGCACTAATTCATTTTCTCAGCATTTGTTTCCTTTCATGTAAAGTGAGATTTATCGTGAACGTCGAATGCTCTGATTGCAAAGAATACCTCTTTAAAACGAAGTTTTCCAACAGCTTTTTATTCTGAGTATCATTTAATAAAGTGCAACATGACATTAACAAGGTTGCTTAGACAAGCCCTCGGAGTTTATTTAAGTAGACTCTGCCCCATATTGATTCCCAATTATAACATGTTTAGCATGAATTAAACCTGCCAGTGTTCTCAGACAATGTGATGCTCTCCCTGCAATTCTGCCCTCGTCTGTCAGCTACAAGAGTGTCAGTGTTTCCTTGTTCATTCTATTTAAAACGTAATTCTCAACCTCTTGCTCAAATGATTTAAGCCATATGTGAAGTCTATAAATTTTGTTTTCTCAGACGACCACCTTCTTTCCCTTCTTACTATTTCTTACTCCCTTTTCTCTATTTTCCTTATTGTCTCATGTACTAAAATAAGACTTTAAATTTTTTTTCTACTCAAAGTAAGAATAACAATGCTTATATTTTTCTAGTTTGATCTACTTTTTAGTAATAAATATGGGCTATTAGTTGTGTGTGTGTGTGTATATATATATATATATATATATATATATATATATATATATATATATATATGTGGGTTTTCATGGAATTAACTTTGTCTCTTTTTGCCCATGAGTTTATTGGTGAGAAGACACAAGTATAACTGTTGGGGTTCTTCTGCATTCTTTGGTTATTCATGATATTGCTAACTGAACCTTTACTGGTTGTTTAAATTTTGTGGTCATGTGTGTTTTTACCATAGGCTCTTGAGGGAAATATATAAAAGGCCATGGGAAAATTGGTGGTATGAAAAAAATCTATCAGTATATTCTTCTCAGATACCCTTTTCGAGAAAAATTAAGATACTTTGAAAAAGATTCATAATCAGAAATATTATCTAGTTTAACTTTTTTGAATGGAGAGATTTTATAGGCTGGCAACGGGAGCTTCTGACTTTTCTTCTGCATGAGCACTGATGATGGAGGGAGTGACTGTGTTTGAGTGAATTTTAGGTAGAAGAAAGGGAGCCTGGTAACAACAAACTGTGAGACTGGTTGTATTACGTTACTTGTTAATCCTTCTGAAGGAGAGATACCAGGGCCTCTGCCCTGCATCCTTCCATGCTAGAAATATTCATAGTTGGAGGAAGCAAGAAATGCAGCCCTTGAGCACGTTGGATTTTTTTTTAACTATTGATTTTGAAAAAAAAATTGTTTTTGTAATTATGAGTACCAGGAAAAAAAAGTAAATGAGAAGAGAGATGTATAGCAGATTAAATATGTGGCTGCCTTTTTGACTTGTGTAACATCAGATATCCCACTCCACCTTCATTTTTAAATAAACCTCTCTGTTTCTTGCCCTTTCAGCTAATCAGAACTTTTCTCCTGCTCTCCCCTGTTGTCTCAGGATTTAGGAAGAGAGCTGATGGGATTGGGCTGGGCCTAGGAAGGATTGACAGCACCTCTAAGGGTTTGCTCCTGAGGAGAGAATAACTTGCCTCTTGCTCCTCTTCAAGCCTCAGACGGGAGCTCACCCCCAGCCTAGCAGTTAACATTGCTGCTGCAGTCAGGTGTGCTTTCTCTGTCCACCTTTTCTGTCTAGGGTTCCCTTCCTGTCTTTTGTTTGGCTGTGAGACGTGGTTAAGCCCTTTGGCTACTCCCGTGCCTACAGGCCCTATTGCCCTGGTTGGAAGGGATGGGGTGGGAACGCACTTGAGGGGTGAGAGGCCCCCAGAGAGGAGACCAAGAGGTGCCAAGGGCAAAGCCCTGTTTCACAATTCTGTTCCAGGCCTCCATGTTTACCTGGCTTTGCTTCTTAGGCTGGGGGACTTTGTTACTTATTAGAATTTTTTTTTCCTCAATTACATATTTTGTTTCCCCAATTAGATAAGGAGGCCTCTACAGGCATGGATCCTGCCATGTGCTTCTCTTGTATTCTTTGTGTTGCCTGCACTGTGAGAGGCACATAGCAGGAGCTGAGATATGGGGGTTTCATTGCATTAATAATGTCTCTTTGTAGTTGTGTTAGGGCTCTTACAACAAAGACTGGGTGGCTTATAAACAACAGAAATTTATTTCTCACCGTTCTGGAGACTGGAAGTCTGAGATCAGGGTGCCAGCATGGTTAGGTTCTGGTGAGGACTCCCTTCCGGGTTGCAGACTGCCAGCTTCTCATTGTGTCCTCCTCACATAGTGAAAAGACAGCGGACTGGCTTTCTGGCTTTGGATTACAAGGGCGTTAATCCCATGTGTGAGGGCTCTACCCTCATGACTGAATCGCCTCTCAAAGACGCTACCTCCTAAATGCTTCACAATGGGGGTTAGGTTTTCAACATATGAATTTTGGGGGAACACAAACATTCAGTCTGTTGCAGTAATTTGTCTTATTCATTCCCTTTACCTTCACTTACTTACCATTCTTATATATTTTTTTAAACATATATTTAGTAACTACTTGCCTGGTTCTTGCTGGAGTGACTTTTTTTTGGAAGGGTCCAGATTCTGCATACCTCCAAAGCAGTCTGCCTAAGATTGATTTGTCCATTTCTGCCTTTATTTGTTGAGTTGAATCTTAAACTTTCTCTTTCTTATAACTCTGTGAAGAACCTGCAATCTCAGGAAACATGAGCTCCACTTTCGAATGAAAGGGCTTTACTACTAGGAAATGAGAGAGGCCTAGGTTTTCTTCTTTCAGACCTCGCATAAATTGGCTGTGCGGCTGCGGAAGAGTTAGGTCGCCTCTCTGTATAGTGTATTCTCAGATAATGTGAGTTAGGCTCATAATTGGGAAGTTTAGTGTAACTCCTGTAACTCAGATTATTCTCTCTGTTACTTAGGTTCTCCATTACATACAAAAATCATTGTTTTTGTTAAAGTTGTTCTGTTCCTTTGTTCTAGTTGTTTAATGCATTTTTCCCCTGGCCAGATCATTTTTTTTGAGGAGCAAGGACAAGAGCTAATTCTCACATATCCTTGGCTACCCTTTTTCTCCCTGTAGACCAAGCATGAGAGTCCATTCAAAGTAGGTGATCCATAAATGTTTTAACCTAATTAGACACAAGCATTTTTAGAATTCAAGAGGAAGAAATTCCCTAAATACGTTAGCATTTAAGCACATCGTAGAGGTCATCTGGTTTACCACCTCATTTTTTGATCATCAGTTTATTTGTTCTATTATTCTCTCCTTCCTTTCTTCATCCCTTTTGTGCCAGGCACTGTGTGAGGAGCAGGGGATATGAGGTGAGGATAGACATAGAACTTCCATCAGGTGGAGAGGATAGACATTAAGCAAGTATTTAAAAGTCTGAGGAGAGCTTTAAGTACCAAAAGCTACAAAAGCCCATGTTGGGGAGCTGCCTTGTGGTCTGAGAAGGCTGTTATGAGGACGTAATGTTTAAGCTAAGGATTATCAACCCAGAGAAGGGAAGTAGCTTGCCCAAGGTCAGTCAGTAGCTCACACGTAGTAGAGCATGGCCTGTAGCACAGATTTCTCCCCTGCCCTGGGCTTATCCCTATGAGTTTTGTGGGGGTGCTGAGAAAACTTCATTGTTCAAGTACTTTGATTTTGCATTTCACTGGGGCATATGGCTTAGCTATTCTATGAATAGCTTACAGTTTGATAATTTTATGGACTGTTTGTATACCCCCCAAATTCATGTTTTAATCTAATCTCCAATGTGATAGTATTTCCAGGTGGAGTTTTTGAGAGCTAATTAGGTCATGAGGATGAAAATACCTTCTAGAATTTGTCCACCAATTCAACTTCTAGTATTTGTCCAACTTCTAGTATTTGTCTATGCTGTTATCTTTCTGGAAGGCAGTTTGGCAAGATACATAAAAGTGTAAAATGTGTGTACACCTTGACCCAGCAATTCAGCTTCTAGTATTTGTCTAACTGCATAGCCATGAAACGATACATGCACAGAGATACCCACTACATATTTGTGTTTGTACGAAAAAAAACTAGAAATAACCTAAATACCTATTAGTGGGAGACTTGTTAACTAATTTATTATTAGGAAACTAAATACTTATACAGGTCAACTGTGGAATACCATATGATTTTTTTAAATGATGTAGTAGTTCTTTATTTGTTTTTAATGGAAGGATATCCCTGACATGTTATTTAAAACAATTCTGATCACAGACAACATAAATAATATGAGCCTATTTACATAAAATTGTTTGTAAATGTATGGATGTATATGAACATGCAAGGCCTGTTCAATAAAATCTTAGCAGTGTTTTTTCCAAGTGATTTTTAGTTTTGTTTCGGCATTTTGCTGTGTCATTTGAATGTTTGTACAATGGGCATGTCTCCTTTTTTTTTTTTTTTTTGAGACAGAGTCTCACTCTGTCGCCCAGGCTGGAGTGCAGTGGCACGATCTCTGCTCACTGCAAGCTCCGCATCCCGGGTTCACGCCATTCTCCACCTCAGCCTCCCAAGCAGCTGGGACTACAGGCGCCCGCCACCACACCCAGCTAAATTTTTTTTGTATTTTTAGTAGAGATGGGGTTTCACCGTGTTAGCCAAGATGGTCTCCATCTCCTGACCTCGTGATCCTCCCGCCTCGGCCTCCCAAAGTGCTGGGATTACAGGCATGAGCCATCGTGCCCAGCCGGGCATGTCTCATTCTTAAAAGTCACAACAATATTTAAAACATGCATTGCCCTACTGACCAAGTGCTTGCAGCATCGTCTAATTAAGTCAGAGTATTAAATGGGTACAGAGGATTGGACATTGCTTTCATAGAGCATTTATTAACTGTATATGCCCTATAAAACTAGGGGATATGAATACAGAGAGGTGTCCTTGTTCCCTAGGAATTTAAAGTTTAGAATAATTTCAAGGCTATATGTTACTAAGTAGGCATACTGCACTGGTGTGTGGAATATGTAAGTACCCACCAAGGAGAAATTTTATAATGGCATGTGGATTCAGATTTATCACTTTACCTTGAGGATTTACCCAAATATGAAAGGAATATTAGTGATTGCTTTGCGTTCAAGGGAAGGGGTTTGGGCATAATGTGTAGACCTCCAGTACCATTTAACTGAGTGTTGCTACCAGTTGGGGCATGTATTTTTCAAAAGGAACTAGTAATTTCCTTCATTGGCAATTAATTAGGTATCCTAAAAACGTGCAATTTAAATCTGATAGCATGGATGGTGAGTCTTCTGGATGGCAGTGTTGGAGAGAAAGTCCAAGAATGCATTTTCTAGGAGAAAAGGTCACTAATTAGCTTTGCAAGTAAAATCAATGCTTAGTCATTCCTTCATCCAGTTTTTCTTTTCTGATGTTCCTTTAGCAGCATCATATTAGTTTTTGACATTGGAAAATCATAACCTGTTAACCCAATGGATAAACAATAGCTAGGAAAGCTTTTTAGAGTTTTTGATAATTTTATTAATTTTCTATTAACGTCTCATCTTTATTGTAATTTTCTTTAGGCTCAGAGAATAAAAACATCTGTCTCTAGCTAATGGACCAGTAGAACAGTCTTTGGAGCCAGTAGGATATGAGCCTGTGGTCTGAAGAATCAGGATAGATTTAAAGGAATTTGGTTAGTGACCTTGAATCTTTAATGTTCTCTGCCACACATTCTCCTCTTTTATAGTCTTACCATAAGAATTTGTGCTAAGAGGAATCTCTGGAAACATTCTAACCCAGGACACAAACTGCCTTTGAAATCTGAAGTAAATCTCATATAAAATGTATTTACACATAATTAAATTTGTTTTAGTCTAAAATCTGGTGATGTTACTTAATGTCAGTTCATTTCCACAAAGATTTATCAAGCTTCTGTGGATTCAAGTGAGAATGGAAGGAGAAGGTTTGGAGACAACACTTCTGAGGACTTTTGCCAATCACCTAAGCAATGTGAGGTTCCATATTGTGGCTTTCGAGTGAGATCATTCAAAGGTGTTATGTGTTTTTCTCCCTCTGGGCCTTCATGTGTATGAGTGGAGTGTTGAAGTGAACGAGGCCATGTTTTTGCCGAGTGAGCAGGTCCACACTAGAGTGGGGATAGAGTTCAGCATGTATGGAAGGGAGTGGTTATGACAATTGACTGTGGAATTTAAATTGGCTAAGGAGGTGAATTTGGACATGAGGAGGGTGAGGGACAGTGAAAAGCTGTAGTATCCAATGGGTTGGAGGTCTCCCTGGGGTCAGAGACTTGCTGAAGTTGTGGTATCAGAGATGGGAAACTGACAGGAGATGTTGGTGGTGGGAGAGCAACATGGAGGAATTTCAGCTAAGAAGTGGTGTGTGACCTTGGAGTTAGGGCAGAGAACAGGGACTGAAAAGCCAGGGTATTGGAATGATCATCTCTGTGGCTACTGAATTCACTTAGAGTCATGGCCACAGGAGTGATGAAGAGTGACAGGGAACCAGGAACCCAGATCTTCCCAGAATGAGGGAGAGTGGGCAATATAGTCTGATTTTGTGTGAATCAAAGGTCAGGATTTTACAGAAGAAAGGAGGGACAGTGGTATAGATGTGATAAAGATAACCCACTCTACCTCTAAGCCTTGAAGTTCAGGGAATGTGGGGAGAAAATAGTCACCACATAGGGGGGCTAGAGGTGGAGTGAGCAGTGGGATCTTGCTAATGACTATAAGTTCCAGACAGCACAGGGAAAGGGTTTCAAGCATTGGGAATGGTGGGTGATAGGGTCAGGAAGAGGAATGGAAAGAGCCATATGGTGGTAAAAGTGTAAGGTTGAGAAATGACTTGTGAGTCCTTGAGGGCTTCTCCTTGTATTCTTAACAGGGATAAAAGATATGATTAAGTTAGTCCTGATATTCCCAAGGCTATTGATTTATAGACTGGAATGGGAGAAAGGACAGCACCCAGGGTTTTGGGTCTCCCGCTGGACTCCTGCTTGAGGGGGTGGTCTTATACAGAGCACATAGGGCCCCCATTTAACCCCAGCCAGAGGAGGGGCTGCCTTGAGACCAAGCATTCATTACCCCTGTCCAGGGAAGTATAATGAACAGTAGAGGTCATGGAACATTCTCATGTTTTATTCAACTTTGTGGATCACTTCACGTATTTCACCACATAGACAGCATTCCCTTGTGCCATATTTCTGATTACTTTGTGCCCAGTGAGGATCCTTCATTCATTTATTGCTTCTTTCCTTCCCAGTTACTTGTGTTTCTTTTGTCTGGACAGAAGAAAGCGGTAATGTCTGCCAGTCTGAGGACAGAGCGTGTGTGATGGTGCCCTGTAAGACTCTATTGAATTGAGATACTGTCTGCAGGAAGGCCATTTAGTCTAAAACCAGTTATCACTTCTCCTGAGCTAAAAAGCATTCAGTTCTATCTTCTGGTCACTCCAGAAGAGATTCCATAGTACAAGCCAAAAGAAATTAAATACATGAAGTGACCTTTAATCTATATTAGGGAAATTAATATACGTTTAACTCTTTGGAAGCACTAGATTTGAAATTCAAAATGAACTCCTTAATAAATCCTTACTGTCTCCTTGTGGACAGATGCGTGGGTCTTTAATATCTTTATTCTTTATGTCACAGTCTGTTGAGCCCTAAACATATTTGTATAAATAAAGAGATTCAGGAAAGATTTGCCAAAAGGACTTAATTTTATTTCTAATTCCCCTTTCTGGAATCCTGCTTCCTTTACAAGGATATTGTACAGAAATGTGATTTTATGAAATACTTGAATTGTTTTAATACTTCACTTTTAAAGTTCCACTTTGTATGTAAGAGGACTTCTCAGATTTGAGTCACAATTTTCAAAACATAGTGAAGGACCAAATGGGAATATAAAGGTTGGTTAGAGAAATAAACCTTTTTTTTTTTTTTAATGGACAGTTAAGCACGTGATAGAGGTTCCAAAGGTAGATTGAAGTAGGGGAAGATAATGCTGATGAAATAATGGTTTCACTGGTGTCCCTTCATTCTTTACAAATAAATCT
Organism: Homo sapiens; assembly: GCF_000001405.40. Lineage (NCBI taxonomy): Eukaryota > Metazoa > Chordata > Mammalia > Primates > Hominidae > Homo > Homo sapiens. The sequence continues at coordinate 133,064,837 of NC_000003.12, forward strand.
ATCCTAGAGATCACTTATGCAGTATGTAAATAATAAACACAGCCAAAGTTGGTTTACTGGTCTTTTTTCCAACCAGAACTTTACACTGATACTTCCTCTCCTCTGTGATAGAGTCATGATCATCAGTCCTTTGGAAGATCTGGAAAGTCCTGAGATAGCAGGGTGAAATCAGACCCCTTCCAGCCTGTAAACTTTTACAAGGCACAACCAGGCCTTTTATGTCTTACATGGTGAAGTTGGGGAAACTATCTCACCATTTGGGAAGGCATAGATGCTAAAGTCACAATGATGTGATCCTCGAACATAGAGCTATTCAATGTGTATTTGTTGGATGGATTAAATTGTCACTGCATTTTTTTTAGCACTATGTATTCTTTTTTAATTCTGTGGACTCCAAAAGTGTGGTTGTGTGTAAGGATATGTACAAATAAACACTTACATAGGTAGCCACACACACACACACACACGCACATGCACACACACATGCACAGAGATGTTCGCATATGCAGAGAGACACCTGACTGTTGGTTCACACAGTTTTCCATTACAGAAGAATGCCTTTCCCAGCTATGGTAAATAAGTGCGGTTAGTCTGATCTCTCCACCTCTGACCTAGTTTTGATATTTTGTAGCTCTAGTTAGTATAAAAGAAACCCAATTTTTTTTTCATGTTCCAGAAACAGGTTCTTTCTTCCTAAAAATAAATGAAAGGACCTTGACATAAGGTGCATATTTTCTAATTAAGAACATCTATGCTGCATTTAATTAATAGCTTCTCAACCTTATTTCCAACAAGTTGTTTTATTCATAACTGGGCCAATTCTTATTAAATTTAAAAAAAATTTATGTCCATATGGCATTCTAGTGGTATGCGCATTTGTACATAGCATTCTAGGAATGAAAATATCATTTTAAAATGGAAATTACAATACCAGTATGTGCCTATTTCTACATAGTTCAGCCATTTTCAAGGCTTAAAATGGGTGGGACCGCACATCTGAATTTTTCAGTATAATCGTTGGGTTATTAATGCATGGCAATTTTAGTTCCGTGAACAAGGAAATACACTGTGCTGGAGTTTCTTCTTTGATGGGTAAATATACTCTCTAAGTTAAGTGTAAGGATTCAGAGCAACCACAATAGCTACATAAGGCTACTCTCTTTTGCTTCATTAGTGTGGTTTTTTGAGGATTTTATTGTCATAATTCTTCACATGTACTTATATTCCAATTACTTTACTATATTTGGTGGCCCAAACGTGACATTCCTTATTAGATTCCCATTGGTCTAAGTAATTCCCATTACTTAGACTCGTCTTTTCTCTATAGTAAAGACTTTCTTGGAGCTTGGAATTTAATTGGTGTTATGCTGGGATAACTACCAAGTTCATTCCCATTGCCATCTGGTATGAGCCTCTTTAGTGTTGTGTGTGCCTGGTTGCACAGTGATCTCTTCAGTCTGTTTTGTATTACTATATTGTTATTTATAATGTACATCTCATTTATTTTATACCTTGTTCTAGAAAGGATTTAGGATGGTTTACAAAGATTCATAAAAAATAATAACTTAAAATTTAAGAGTGTAAGCAATAGAAGAAATAAGAAAAAAAAGCAAGATAATAAGAATAGAACTTGAAAAGGTCTGAGAAAATTGCTGGCTTTTAGGGCCGATATTCATGCTTTTGCATGGACACATATATGAAGCGTTGGGCATCCTAGAAACCATTTAAAAAGGACCTCTATTCCATTACGTGATATCCTTAGTATAGGAGCAAACCATTTACCTTCCTTCTTCTATAGTTTACTCAGTGTTTGTTAATCTTTAAAAAGTTAATTTATTATACATAGAAGAGCAGTTATAATGTATATATTATTTATGAAGAATAAAGTGCATACCCTCTGCCTAGCTTAAAAATAAAACATAACCACTGCCTTTGAAGCCCCCAATGTGCTCTTTACCAATTGCATTCCCTCCCTCTCTCCCCTACTAGAGGTAATTAGTACACTAAAATTTGCAGTTATTCTTTACTTTTGTTATATTTTAACATCTCTTTACAAATGAGTGAAAATGAAACAATAATGTGCATGTTTTTTTCTGTGATCTTTGCTTCTTGTGCTCAGCACTGAGATTCACCCATGTTGAAATTTGTACCTATAGTTCATTCATTTTCACTTGGGTAAACATGTACTACTTATCCATTTCCTTATGAACAACAAACAATGCTATCAATATTCTTATTTGTGTCTCCTGGTATGACTCCCTTTTGTATGTCTTACATAGGCATATATGTGTGAGACTTTCTCTAGGTTTTAGAATTACCAATTTGTTGTGTCATGGGGATAATCAGCTGTGCATATTAAGCTTTACTAGATAATGTCAAATTATTTTCCAAAGAGATTTCTGCTCCCACTAGTGTAAGAGGAGCTCGTGTGCTTCACAGCCTTATGATACTTGGCATTGTGTGGCTTTTTGATATTTGCCCATCTGGTAGGTATTTGATGCATTCTTTATAAAGGTATTGCTAGGCCAGAAGCCTGGCACCAGAGATGAGTTATATATATCCTGCTCATCTTACTCACCAGACCTTCCTTCACAACTTCTCTCTTGTCCCTGAAGTTTTCCTTCATAGCATCCATCTAAAGCTTGACTACATCTCACCTGCTTTAGCTCTCTGAATTATGAATGTTCATCTGCTACTACTTGCTTACATTAAAAATTTAGAACACATTTCAAGTGTCTTCAGTCGTGGTTCTCTATTAATTAGCTCAACACATAAGTTGAATAATTCATTGACACTGGACCTGGTATATGTTAAGGTAAGTACTTTGCTCTCAGAGACTTTTGTCTAGCTAAGGTGGTGAGGGCCAATAGGACTGTAAACAAGTATGTGATAAGTTAAAATGCTATGAAGGGAACATCAGGTGCTGAGATGAATAACATGGAAATGAACTTTAGCTGGTGTCTCAGTTTTGTGCTGCTGTAACAAAGTAAGCTGGGTAATTTATAAGGAACAGAAGTTTACTTGTCTCACAGTTCTAAAAACTAGAAGGTTAATTTGTACAGCAGCATAGAAAAAAAAAAGAAACTGGAAAGTCCAAGAGCATGGTTCCAGCATCTGGTGTGGGTCATCCCACCGTGGAAGGCAGAAATGAGCACATAAGACAGAGGGGAAATCAGGCTAAACTCATCCTTTTATCAGGAGCTCATTTTCATGGTAACTAACCAATCCCTGAGATGTAACATTAATATATTAATGTTATATAATATATTAATGTTATATAATATATTAATATGTTAATGTTATCTCTTAAAGGTCCCACCTCCCAACACTGTTGCATTGGGGATTAAGTTTCCCACATGAACTTAGGAGAACATACTCAAATCATAGCAGATGGTGTGGCCAAGGAAGGCCTCTCAGGCAGGTGAACTTAGCTGAGACATGACCAATGGGAAAAGGTTAGCCAGGTGTTGTGACTACTATGTGTGGGGCAGGTTGGAGGGAGAGAAGGAAACAGAGGCAGCACTTCGGGCCAAGAGGTTAAAGTGTGAGGAACTTGAGGCAGGATAAAACTGGCATGTTTAATAGTTGTAAGAGGGCAGGTATGGCTGGAAGGCAGATGCTTGTTTGGAGGACTGTGGCAAGAAATTAAGAAAGAGAGAAATCTTATACCACCTCCTAGTCAGGGTAAGGAGTATAGATTTATACTTAAGGGCAAGAGAAAGCTGATGAAGGGTTCAAAATGTGGATAGGAAAGGGAGAATGATATGATCTAGTTGAAGTTTTAAGATAACTTTTGCTGATATGTGAAGATTGGATTGAGGATCATGATCGAGTGATTTTTTTGTGTGTTCAAAACAATCACAAAATTTCAAACATTTGCAGCACCTGTTACCTGTGAGGATATAAAGTGGGGTCCTTGTCCTCTAGAAGTTGTTCATAATCATTTGGGGTGGTGAAGCACATAAGAAAACCGTTAGTACTAAATGCCAAGTGAGCTGTACAAAGAAGACTTGTTACAGGATTAGAAAAGGAAGAAATAACTGTTGCCAGAAGCCATCAGGAAAGGCTTCCTGGGGCAGCTGTGAGGCTCAATATAGACAGGGAAGGATGAGTAAAAGTTAAATAGTAGGGAATAGAGAAGGCATTCCAAGCAGGACAAAACAGTGTACATCCATGTTTGGATAGAACAAAGGAAGGCTGGGAAATGAATTTAGAGAGACAGAGAAAGCTGTTGCCAGGTTGTGAGAGCCCTTGAATGACCTCTTTTCCCTAAAGATGGCACCACCAGTAGAATAGTGAACTAACACACTTCACATTTTCATGAGGATGGAGCCGATGGCTCTGGTTTAGAAGACTTTACTTAAGAATGCAATTTCTTTACAAACAATACCATTGCATTTATGATTACAGACTTATTTTATTGGTCCTAGATTAATATCTTACAGGTCTTTGCTGGGTCACATGGTTGATTTTGGTTTGGCATTGGGTCTTTACATAAGAGAACCAGTTCTTTTTTAAAATAAACTAAGAAGTAATTAGACAAATGCATGTCTAGCTAATAAAATAAGGGCACTTACTTTACTCCCTCAGGACTCCTTCGTTTCAGTGGTAGTGCAAAGAAATGGTGGAGGCAGCATGCATCTGGGGGACTTATTCAAATTAACTAGTATAAAGTCATATCTTTTAAGGTCTTACAGGAACTTAAGGTCCAGTTCAGTACAAGTCCTTTTATTTAAAACCCAAGCTGTTCTCCTCTATATTTGATCCTTTATTTAATACCCAAACTCCTCCCTTAGCCTGCCCTTAAGGTAGAATTAGTGGCATCATGTGATACTCCATTCTGGCTTCTGGCTTCCAGCTTCCTTCATTTCTTAAGACTTTATATTTACCCATCATCCTGTAGCCAGGATTGGTGCATGATCTGTCCAGGCTTTGTCTGTCTGTTTGGTCAAAGTCCCGCTGTATAATTGACTCACCTCACTCTTACGCTTCCAGGAATGTGTACATTGTTCAGTCTCCTTGTCTGCTTTTCCACAGTATTTTGTATATTTACATATTCTTTGAATGTGTTCATTTAATATATCCTATTTTTATTCACTATTTTTACTCACTAAATGTCTTTCTAAATTTCTCATCTTCCTATCAGAGCCCACTGCTGCATTTTTGCCCAGTCTTCTCTCATGGCTCAGTACCATACATCATACCTCATTCAATGGTGAGGAAATGTCCATGAAGACCCTAAACAGTACAGAGCACTTGTTTCTTTTCCTGCTTCCTCTGGAAGCACTGAGTGACATCACCAGTATAATAACAATCCTGGGTCATTGCCAGCCTTACCACACCTTTTTTTCAGATAATTCAAACATTTTGATAGCCTGCCACAGTCACAGAGTTAGAGAGACCCTCAGAGTGTCAAGTATGAGATATTGTGCCTGTCTTCTGGAAAGGTTCTGGTCTTGGGAGAGGAGGGCTTACACAAGTGAGGACAAGAGAGGAGTACAAAATGGCTTTACCAAGTTATCTCTGACATAAGGCAGTTCAACTTTGGCACTTGCAGGGCTGTGGTGTACCTGCTGCTGCTGCCTTTCTCTCCCCTTAACTTGTGGGCAGTGAGCTAAACAAACTGAGGAAATTTAAAGGTGGATTCTCCATTGGAAAAGGCTTAGAACCCTAGTGCAACCTATAAGCAAGTGCTGCAACTACAGATATAAAGGAAACACATAATAATCCCTGAAGAGTGTATTAAGAAGAGAGCATGATTTAAATCTCATTGCAACATTTCATTTCATACCAAGGACTCATTCTTTGTAACAAAGCAATGTCCCTGTCCTGGTAGGCGACCCACAGAAAAACCATTTTGTTTCTCTGAGTACAGTAAACTCTTTGCAGTGAATGCTTTCTCTGATGTATGTGTGTGTGTGTGTGTGTGTGTGTGTATCTGTGTGTGTTTGTGTGAGTGTGTTTAACAGTCTCTTGTCGTTAAAAAAGAATCGCATTCTGAGCTGAAGATGGGTATGAGGGTGCTAGGGTACTGCAGCTGCTCTGAATGTTATGTTGCCTTTAAAAAAAATTCAACATTTGCTGTCTTCAGGGAACTCCCATTGAAGAGATGGGGACACCAGACAGCTTACTAATGCAGCTCTGATCTCATTTAAGGTAGGAGCTCAGGAATTTTTGTTTGTCCCCTCTCTGTTACCAGCATATTGTACAATGCCTGGTGTGCAAAATGTGTTCAGTAGGAATTCACTTTTTTGTTTGGAAATAATTTCAGGATTTTAAATAAGTTGCAACATAGGCTATAGAGTATACCCATATACTCTTTACTCACTGTTTTAGTTTGCTAGGGCTGCCATAGCAGTGTATCACAGAGTGGGTGGCTTCAACAATAAAAATGGATTTTGTTATGATTCTAAAGGCCAGAAGTCCAAGATCAGGGTGTCAGCAGGGTTGGTTTCTTCTGAGCCCTCTCTCCTCATCTTGTAGATGGCTGTTTTCTCCATGTGTCTTCACATGGATTTCCCTGTATATATGTCTGTGTCAAAATTTCTTCCTCTTATGAGAACACCAGTCATATTGGTTTAGAGCCCACTCTAATGAAATCATTTTAACTTAATTATCTCTTTAAAGACCCTATCTTCAAATATAATCACATTCTGAGGTTAGGACTACAACATGTAAATTGGGGCAGGAGGATCATAGTTTAGCCCATAACACCCAGATTCATTTAATATTTTTCCTCACTTGCATGATGATTTGTGTGTTAAACATCTGTTCATATTCTTGTTAGCCATTTGTGTATTATCTATGGAAATAATACACAAAATCCTTTGCCCATTTTTAAAAAATTGTGTTGACTTTTTTTGTTGAGTTGTGGGAGTTCTTTCTGTGTTCTGGATATTACCCCTTTATCAGACATATAATTTTCAAATATTTTATCTCATTCTATAGGTTATTTTTTCACTCTACTGATATTGTTGTTTGATGTACAAAGGTTTTAACATTTGATGTAGTCCCATTTGTCTACTTTTGCTTTTGTTGCCAGTGCTTCTGATATCATATCCAAGAAATCACCAAGTCAAATTCCAATGTTACATTTTCTTCTGGGATAGTTTTAGATCTGACATTTAGGTCTTTAATCCATTTTGAGTTGATTTCTGGTATATGATGTAAGACAAGCGTCCAACTTCATTCTTTTGCATGTGGATGTCCAGTTTTCTTAGTACCATTTATTGAAAACACAGTCCTTTGGTGTTGGTACCCTTGTTGAGAATCATTTGACCATGCACAAGGAGTTTATTTCTGGGCTCTCTATTCCATTTCTAAGCTTACCAGATCATTAGGAGAATCCTGATGACATTTGGGAAAGAGATCCCTGCAAATGGCATCTAAAGATATTCACACAACAGTGAGGTCAATGAGGTAAAAATAATGATTAAGGACAGATTTTAGAATTAAGAAGTACTTATTATAATGAATATGACACTGCTAAAACCTGTCAAGTAAAATATGTAATAAAGCCTCAGGATAATCAGAGAATGGGTTATTCTCTGTTTACCTCAGGATTTAGCCAAAAGTGCTTTAGTTTTAAACCTTCATTAATATAAAATTATTAAGGATAATATAATATAAATTATTAAGTATTTCACAAGATCATGGGATCATAACTCTTATGTCAGTTACCACATTTAATGTAGAAAAAGGGGAACACAGAATACACGTGGCCAAAGAATACCCCACGGAAGTTATTTGCTTTTGCTCTTTACCGCATACCTTATGGTACTTTTTAAAGCAGGCCTTCTTTTTAAAATAACAGCTTTATTGAGTTATAATTTACGTATTATAAAATGCACCTTTTAAAAAATGTACAATTCAGTGATTTTTAGTATATGTAGAATGTTGTGCAACTATCACCACTATATTTCAGAACATTTTTGTCACCCCAAAAGAAACCTCATACCCATTAGCAGTCATGCCCTACCCCGTTTCCCCTAAGTCCCTGACAGGCAGTAATCTACTTTGTATCTCTGGATTTGCTTATTCTGGACAATTCCTATAAATGGACTCATTCTATACGCAGCCTTTTGTGTCTGGCTTCTTTTACTTAGCAAATGTTTCCAAGGTTCATTCATGTTGTAGCATGTCTTGGTACTTCATTCCTATTTATTTGTTTAAATTGACAGATGGAAATTGTATATATTATTTTATAAAATATGTTTTGAAATATGTATACATTGTGGAATGGCTAAATTAAGCTAATTAAAATATGAATTATCTCACATATTTATTTGTGGTAAGAACACTTAAAATCTACTCTCATCAATTTTGAAGTATACAGTACATTGTTGTTGACTATAATCACGTTGTTGTATAATAGGTCTTTTGGATTTATTAGTCCTGTCTCATTGAAATTTTGTATCCTTTGACCAACATCTTCCCAGTTCCCCGTTTTCCCAAGTCCCTAGTGTCCACTGTTTTACTCTCTGCTTCTATAAGTTCTCCTCTTTTATTATAGATTCCACAGGTAAGTGCGATTATGTGGTATTTGTCTTTCCGTGCCTGGCTTATTTCACTTAACATAGTGTCTTGTCCATGTTGTTGCAAATGACAGGATTCTCTTTTTTTTTTTTTAAGGCTGAATAGTATTCTATTCTCTCTCTCTCTCTCTCTCTCTCTCTATATATATATATATATATATATATCACATTTTCTTTATCCATTTATCTGTTGATGGTCACTTAAGTTGATCTCATATCTTGGCTATTGTGAATAATGGTGCAATGAGTATGGGAGTGCAGATATCTCTTCTACATACCGATTTCATTTCCTTTGGATATATACCCAGTAGTAGGATTGTAGGATCATATGGTAGTTCTATTTTAATTTTTTGAGGAACTTCCATACTGTTTTCCATAGTCACTGTATTAATTTACATTCCCACCAACAGTGTACAAGAGTTCCTTTTTTCCACATCCTTACCAACACTTATCTTTTATCTTTTTGATAATATTCATTCTAGCAGTGTAAGATGATATCTCATTGTGGTTTTGATCTGTATTTCCTTGATGATTAGTAATGTAGAATATTTTTTCATATTTGAAAAATATGGTCATTTGTATGTCTTCTTTTGGGAAATAGCTCTTCAGGTCCTTTGCCCCCCATTTTTTAATCAGGTCATTCATTGAGATTCATAGAGATTAGTCAACTTTTCCCAAGTAATATAATTAAAAAGTAGTAGAGTTGGAGTTTCAAGTTACTTGTACCTGTCTCCAAAGTTGAGGCAGGTTTTTTGTTTTATTTTGTTTAAAATCACAGGCACAGAGAGTTGAGTGAATCCTATTTCTTGGTACATGGAACCAAGAAATAGCATTTTATTAGACTCCCTCTTGATTATTTACTTAAATATTTATTTCCTTTTATCTTCATATTTCATTTGATTCCCCCCCAACAAGCAATCATTTTAATTTGTTTTCATGTACAGATGCTTTTCAACTTATGGTGGTGTGACATCCTGATAAACACAATGTAAGTTAAAAATGTTGATAATGTATTTAATATACCTAATTTACTGAACGTCATAGCTTAGCCTACCTTAAATGTGTTCAGAACACTTACAGTAGCCTACGGTTGGGAAAAATCATCTAACACAAAGCCTATTTTTTTGTTTGTTTTTTGAGACGAAGTCTTGCTCTGTTGCCCAGGCTGGAGTGCAGTGGTGTGATCTCAGCTCACTGCAACCTCCTCCTCCCAGGTTCAAGCGATTCTCCTGCCTCAGCCTCCTGAGTAGCTGGGATTACAGCATGTGCTACCACACCCAGCTAATTTTTGTATTTTTAGTAGAGATGGGGTTTTGCCATGTTGGCCAGGCTAGTCTCGAACTCCTGACCTCAGGTGATCCACCTGCCTTGGCCTCCCAAAGTGCTGGGATTACAGGCGTGAGCCACTGCACCTGGCCACAAAGCCTATTTTATAATAAAGTTTTTATAAATAATTTTGAATCAAAATCCAAAATTCAGAGTAGATTTTCTACTGAATGTGTATTACTTTTGTGCCATTGTAAAGGCAAAAAATAATAAGTAGATCCATCATAAGCCAGGGACCATCCATACATCTTTTTGAGTATATTATAAAATATGTATTGTGTTGTATTCATGTGTTATAACAAATCTTATCTCTCTTTTTTCCCACTAAGCCTTGCAATTTTAGGCTCTATCCATGTTGCTATGGGTACATCAAACCTGCTGCGTCTCTTTGCTGTGCTTCTCCACAGAGCATCCACCACATTTTTATCCATCTGTTCGGCCAGGGATGCTCACTCGATTCCCTCAAGCTCCCCTTCCCCACAAACAATACTGCTGTCAGCAGCTGCTTTTGATTGCACATCAACATTCCTCTGGGATATATACAAGGGAGTCAAATTGCTGGGTCATACTTAATTTAACTAAGTAGTATTGGATTGCTCTCCAGGATAGCTCTACCAGACTTCGCTCTACTAGCAGTTCTTGGGGGTTACTGTTTCCCCAACACTCCACCAATGCTTGGCATTATCCAGCTTCCTAATTTTTGCTAGGCAAATAAGCACAAAATGAAGTCTTGGGGGATTTTTTGGCCATTTCTTTGATCACCAGTGATTTAACATTTCTTACTATTTTGCTGTGATTTCTAGCAAGTGAAAACAACCCTACTGAATAGTAATCCTAACCCTCAAGAAGTCCAGACCATCACTAGTTTTCTGTTGTTGTCCTTCATCACTCCTCCTCCTTAGCACATCCCCGTGGCTTTTCCTTCTCTGCTGTAATCCCTCCTCCCTTGCACCTATCCTTTTTATCTTTTTGATAATATCCATTCTAACAGGTGTGAGGTGATATCTTATTGTGGTTTTGATCTGCCTTTCCTGGGAAAATATCAGAAAAGATCCCTGGGGAAAGATCAGAAGCTATTTCGCCCATCCTGTGTTTTGTTGCTGTGGGAAACAAGGAGATTCTCCTGCTTTGTGCCAGCAGTGAATCAAATAAGAAGTAGTAGATAATTTGAAGGGTGAGGACAAAGACAGGAGGCCACAAGCAAGTGATGTTCCTTTAAAACACAGCATTCAAGGAGAAGCAAGTGAGTGAGGCTGAAAGAGTGAGGAAAGATTGCTAGGTAAGGGGTCAGGTGGTATCTGGAGACCACCAAGGTCCAAAAGAAGGAGGAGATGATCCACAAAGGAATGTGGTGCTGAGTAATGTGGGGACCCTCGAGATTTGGGTAAGGAGGAAGGCAGGAGGAGGATTTAAGGGTCTAGATTTTTAAATACATGTACTTTTAATAAGTCCAAACTCATCAACATATATACATTAAATGTGGGCAAATTTTTTTATCAGTTATGCTTTGATAAAACTAAAAAATAAGGAACTTTTCCATAAAAGTAGGTCGTGACCCTAATAATAGTAATAATAACCCCTTCTGTGTGTCTGTTTCACAGTTTAACATTCTGCTTGCACTTCGAGGAGTCAAGGATGCCACTGCCTCATTATGCATGTAAAGAGACCGTGATATAGATGGGAAAAAAGACTTCCTCGAGGTCTTTTGGAAGTTGAGATTGGAACTTGGGTCTCAAAGCCCAAGTCGCTTACTGCTTATTTCTGTAACATGATGTTGGAGATTGGGCAGGACTGCTTGGGAGAAGCAATTGACTATAACAGAAGGGCAGAAAGGAGATAAAAGGAAGAGAAAAATTGCAGATGCAGTATGTGTAATAAAAAGTAAGCTACTCTGCCCTTAAAGTTTATGTCCTATAATCTTCCACTTTAAATTATTCTCTCAGATTTTTCTAGTGTAAATAGGTTGAGAATATTAGAACTGATTACCTTTTCAGTTCTATTGCCCAGCCATCCTCATTTGGCCAAAGGCCAACAGACAGTTTTCTGGGTTGAGATGTAGGAAGGCTTTGGCAATGGGCAGCAGTCTTTCTTAGCCCGTCTTTGCCATGGGGCTCAGTCTCTTTGGGTTGCGCCACCTTTACAGGTTAGCTGGAGTCAAGCTTAGGTCACATACGGGGATCCAGATCTGTGGATAAGCCAACGAAAGGAAGAGAAATCAAGTGCAAGGCCAAGAAATCAGAATTCAGTTACCACATCAAAGCCAGAATGACAGCACTCTGAGCTGGGAGGGCTGGGGCACTGCCTCAGTTCCTCACATGAGATAGTCATGCTAGAGCCCAAGAAGCAGATAGATCCAAGGCAAAGAGACAAGGACTTGGGAGGGCAAGGCTCCAGTTGTTTCTCATTCTTTGTCTGGCTGAGCCAGTCAAAGACTCAGACAAAGGGCAAGAGAAGTAAGCAAGTGGGTACCTGGCCGTTTGGGGCTGTGCTGGCGGTGAGCAGAGGAGGCAGCCGATGTTTTATAAATTGTTGCAAACAATACTCCTAAAGTCTTGGGCTTTATTTTTGCAGAGAGGAAAAAGGGCCCATTTAATTGTGCTTTGTTATTCTCCTACTCATATTTTTTTCTCTTTTATTGTAGTGATGGCAGTGGTGTTCAGCCAGGAGCAAGTTATATGAGGTAGGGTTCTGCCCAGGGGAGGTGCCAGGGGCAGGCGGTGAGATAGGGCGTCCAGGCTACCTGGGTGTCTGCAGAGCACCCTGGAACACCCATTTCAGTGAGTTGTCTGACCCAGGAAGGTCAGCACTCTGCTCTCCCCACTTTGTTCTTGGGGTGAAGGATGGATCTTGTGAAATCCTGAGCAAGAACAAAGGCTGACTTTATCCCTAGGAGGGATATTTGGGTCACTTTTCCTCTCTGAAGACTACTTCCACAGTTCTCAAAGTGAGAAGGCAGAAATGAAAGCACTTTCCCTTTTCTGTTTGTGCCCCTAAATTCCCCTGCACCTTCAGTCTTCCTTTGGCCAGGTAACTTCCTTTTGAGTTGGCTAGCTTCCTCTGCCTGCTGCTTAGGGATACAGGAGAGATGGTCCATTCGAGAAAGGACTCTAATCTTTGTCTTTTGTGTATAGAGTAAATAGGTACTTGGCCAGGATTCCCTGAGCTCTTGCTCCCAGGCTGACTCGTTTGCCTGTGTTCTGAGGAAACAGGCAGAGTGTGTCTTCCCAGGACAGCCCGGGGGCATTCAGAGTGATCACCCCAGATGCTGCCAGGTTTTTGTGTGTCTTCCAAACTAAGACTTTTATACAAACTAAAATTAGCCTTTGAGGATAGAGAACTCCCTAAATGGAAACATGTAGCAAAGTGGATGGAGGGATGGCAAAATGGGGCAAGGCTGTCTCACCTGCATGTTTTGGCGAAAAATGGTGGAGTTTATGGAGCTCAGTGTGTGTGTGTGTGTGTGCACGCGCGCGCGCGCACACGTGTGTGTGTATATCTCAGATCTTTGTTTTTAGTGACTCACATATGTGCTCCTGAGTTGCTTTTTGTGGACGACAGGGCATATACCTCCCTATTCTTCTCAGTCCTTTCGGACATGCACTCATTTTATATCACCTCAGGGATGGCTCCAGCCTTCCTACCCAATTCTTAAGTATTAGAAGACAGGTTACTCCCAAACAACTAGGCGGTGTCTGATACCCTTGTGGCAATCAAGTGATGCTCTACAAAGCTGCTTTGTAGAGCTGACCTGAGTGGCTAGGGTCTTTGTAGAGATGAGCTGAGTGGCTAGGGTTAGATTAAGGCTTGGAGGGGTCCAAGAAAAATGAACAAGTTACAAGGCTGTAACCCTCTGAAAGGCCACAGAATTATTAGTGATATTTTGAGTTTTAATTATTGATAGCAACTCAGTAATTTAAGTAGTTAATCAACTCAAGAATAAATACAACTTAGCAGGAAGTAATTAAAAAATTGAGATGTTTAACTGGAGGAGTTTTAAGCTTTGAAGTTATCTATTCAGTCAGAATAGTTGCACAAAATACCAAATTATTCATTTACTAAATATGAAATGTTTTTTTCTTTCTCTTTCCCTCTCTGATGCACACACACATATATTTTATCATAGTTGGATCTTGTAGGAAAAAGACTTTGAAGGGACTGATCATTTTCAAATCATTTATCCAGCGAATAGATATTGACATATTATTTTGCATGTTATTCTCTGCTCAAAACTGTAAGGGTGTTAAGATGCTTAAAACATGATTGCTGCCTTTCAGAAACTTTCAGCCATTAAATTGAGAAGAGAAGACAAACTTGCAAAATATAATAATAGTTATATAAATATTGAATTCAGCGAGAAGTGCCGGTGGTATATAATTAGGTTCTAGAAGAATGGATCAGATAGCTGTGACTTACGAAGGGGAAGACATAATTGCTGACTGCATTTTACTAAACCATTTATTTCCTCCTGGATTTGTTCCCTGTGTGTAAAGAGGGGCCTTCAACCCTGGTCAGGTGAGATGGAATATGCAATGCATATACATTTATCTGGAACTTTGTCCAGAGAATGGGTCTTTCAAAAAACAGAGTTACATAAATCCTCTCAGTGATTCTTTGGGGATTGTTGAGATGTTCGTCATTATCTTTATTTTGCAGGTGCCTTAGTCCGTTTGGGTTGCTATACCAGAATAATATAGACTAGGTGGCTTGTAAACAACAGAAATGGATTTCTTACAGTTGTGTAGGCTGGAAGTCCAAGATCAAGGTGGCAAGCTGATTCAATATCTGATGAGGGTCCGCTTCTGGTTTACAGGTAGCCATCTACTTTCTTTGTCCTCACGTGGCAGAAAGGAGCAAAGGTCCTCTCTGGAGTCCCTCTTACAAGGGCACTCATCCCATTCTTGAGAGTTCATGATCTAATCATGTCTGAAAGGCCCTATGTCCAGGTACCATCACATTAGGATTAGGTTCAGCATGTGAATTTTGGGAGGACACAAACATTCTGTTTATGGCAGCAGGTAAGGAACTGCAGGTCAGAAGGGCCCCAGCAAAGTATCATTCTGAAATGAATGACAGATGGGACAGGCACGAAGCTTGAAAGCGAGGAATAAGGGTGTGTCTTGCTTGACTGTGACCGTCTTGCTTACCTGCTGAGGCAGAGGTGCTAGGTATGCCTTCTCTTCAAGGCAGGGCCTCATCATGTAAAGGAGCTTCTGGGTGGAGGCTGAGTGCTTTCTCTATATAGCCAGAGGCCTCACTCCAATGCTTGGGGTGTGAGATCTAAGTTTTGCACAGATGTCTTCTTGCTACAGGCCAAGGCCACAATTAGGGGGAATGGACTCTTTCCACATACTTACTTGTCATCTCGTCCAAGGTAGATGCTTGATAAAATAGTGCTGTATGCTAAAGTGAGCTGCCTAAGCTTCCCTACACATGAAAAAGAAGCCTAGAGGAGAGCACAGATGGGGGACCGTTCAACTGCATTCCCAAGAGCATTATCCCTAACAGGGATAATGGCAGGATGTCCACTGTCTGCGGCCCCTTCTTTTGCCATTCTTTTACATTCATTGCTGTAGAGGGTATAAATAGGAATAAGGAACTGATGGCTATGTGAAGGTGAATTTCAAACTCTTTGAGTTGTGATTAACTTCCAGAGGCCTCAAAATAACTGATTTACATAAAGTATGATGCAGAAACTAAGCCACTCATTTACATCTTCACCATATTTTTTGCATGTAAGGACATATGTTGGTTACCTTTGGTCTTGACAATAACTTCAAGGAAGGAATGCTTTGTCTAATCCTTGTTCCTTCTTCAAGGCCCAACTCAAACACTTTCTCCCCTGGAATCCTTCCCAGAGCTCTTTAGTCAGAATTAATGATCCTATATACCTTTCCATAGCTCTTTGTTCATATCTCTTCACATATTTGGTTATTCACATGTGTGTTCATTTCCTTCATTCAACTCATATATTGTTTTTTTTTACACTCAGAAGCTGAAATTAGTAGACACTTAGTGCTACATGCTGATTGTAAAGTGTATATCTAGAGGAAAGCCAGTACAGTTCAATGTACCCAGTGTGAAGTACTTTCATCCTAGTACTTAATATTTGGATATTTTCTCCATTTTTTTTAAATACTAGGACTTGCGTGAATGAAAGCTTAGTCTCTAGATAGACACAAGTAGGGTCTCTTCACATGAAAAAGGAACTCATCCTCTTCCCCTTTAGCTCCTTAAAGCTTCTCCTCTGGGTGGCAGAGTCGTTTGATGAAAGGAACATGAACTTTAAGCTGACCAGATGGGTGATCTTGGGTAAGTTATTCTTATCTTTCCACATAACAACTTCTCGGATATAAAATGTGGATAATTACAGTTTCCTTGAACAGTTCCATAGCACAGTGTCGTCACTTCTCATGCCTTCATCCATACCTTCATCATTTCTCATCTGGACGTTTCACTGGAAGATGACTGTCCTAGCTCAGGCTGCCATCACAAAATACCATAGACTGGGCGGTTTGACAAGAGAAATTTGTTTTCTCACAGTTCTGAATGCGGGAAATTTGAGATCAGGGTACCAGTATGGTCAGAATATGGTGAGGGTTTTCTTCCCAGTTTGCAGATGGCCACCTCCTTGACGTGTTCTCACACGGCAGAAAGGGAAAGAATAAGCACTCTGGTATCTCTTCTTATAAAGGCACTAATCTCATCATAGGGGCCTCACCCTCATGACCTCATCTAAATCTAATTACCTCCCAAAGACTCCATCTACAAATACTATCACATTAGGGCTTCAACATATGAATTTGGGGGGAACGCAATTCAGTTCACAGCAATGATTGTGCCATTCCTTCAATCCATTCTTGCTATATGGAATATAGATCTGTCACATTTCCCTGCAGGCCAGAATAAAATTCACATTTCTTTGCATAACACTTGTAACTCTGACTCTTATTTAATGCTTCAGCATTGTATCTCTCTGCCTTCATGTTGGTTGGTTCTTCCAGGAAGCAGACACCAACATGGGATTAGAAATGCAAAAGATCTATTGGGGAAAGATAATAGGGAAAGGGAAAAAGAGTAGGTAGGGAAACTTTAGACTGCAATACCAAGTGAGACACATGAAAAAGAAAGGAATCAAGTACAATCAGATAGGAAGAGCATTGTACTGCAATGTAACTCTGAGCAACAAGGAACTTTTGTGCAAAGATCATCTATAGAGGAGTCCCCATTGGTTGGGAGTGGCAAGCCTTGCTTGGTTATTGGCTGGAGCTACCTTAGTAGAGCATGACCTCAGCTTCAAAGCCGTGGCAGATCCTAAAGACACCCACAGCTAGGAGCTGTCAGCTAACTCTACTCCTTGTGGCAGATTTTGTCTTGAAAATAAATCTGAGCAGCATACTTTATGACCTCTGCAGTCTGCTTTGTGCTCTCTCCTTTGCCATGCCAAGTTACTTCAACAGCCATTCTACAGATATTTGAGTGCCTGCTTTGTGCCCATAACCAAGCTTGCTGAGCAAAACCAGGCTTCTCTGGAGTTTACAGTCTACTGGGGGAAATAAATGCTAATCAGATATTCACAATGATGGTGCATAACTGCCAGCGGCACTGAATGCTCTGCAGGAAAGGAAGTCCATCTTACAGGAGTGGGTGGCAAAGGAACCTGAATTCCTTGAACTCACCCCAGTTTCTTGACTCTCTGTCGTTGTATGCGTTGTTACTTCTGCCATAACGTCCTTTCCCTGCTTCTTTGCTTAGCCAACATCATTCAATAATAACAACCATGAGCACATATTGAGGGTAGCCAAATGTCCTGATTTGACTTGGACGCTTCTGGTTGACTCCTTTTGTCATAGTGTATTAATTAGTATTGCCCTCTTTCCTGTTAAAAATATCCCAGTTTAGACAGTATATTATATGGTCACTTGTTTGCCAAGCGCTATTTTAACCTTTTTATTTATTATTATTATTGTTGTTTTGAGACAGGGTCTCACCCTGTCTGCCAGGCTGGAGTACAGTGGTGTAATCATAGCTCACTGCAGCCTCAACCTCCTGGACTTAAGGGATCCTTTGGCCTCAGCTTCCCAAGTAGCTAGGACTACAGGCAGGCACCACTGTGCTTGGCTAATTTTTAAAATTGTTTTATAGAAACAAGGTCTCCCTCTATCGTCCAGGCTGGTCTTGAACTCCTGGGTTCAAGCAATCCTCTTACCTCGGCCTCCAAAAGTGCTGGGATTACAGGCGTGAGCCACCATACTTGGCCTGTAAACTTTTTGTACAAAATACTCATTTAATGCCCACTATACGTCTAAAACAGTAACTTTTTCAAAAAGTTGCAATTTTACAGTACAAGAAGTTAAACAACCCACTAAAAGTCACTGAGCCAGTGGTGCTGGGATTTGAGCCCAGCAAGTCTGTTCCTGAGCCTGTGCTTTCAACTACCAAGCTGTTTCGCCTCTCAAGAGACATTACTTGGAAAGCCCCCCCCCACCCCCCGCCGCCCCACTCCTCAGCCTGGCTTGACTGTTTCCCATGTGATCCATCTGTATCCTGTACATGCCTCTGTTACAGCAC
The DNA here is from genome assembly GCF_000001405.40 of Homo sapiens. Classification (NCBI taxonomy): domain Eukaryota; kingdom Metazoa; phylum Chordata; class Mammalia; order Primates; family Hominidae; genus Homo; species Homo sapiens. The sequence continues at coordinate 133,083,265 of NC_000003.12, forward strand.
ATTGTGATGGCACTGGAAACTGTCCCTCACTCCTCATCCCCCTCCCAGCACCTCACACATACTGAGTGCTCAGTCAATCTGTTGAATAAATGGATTGAGACAGATGAGAGAGTTGCCCATACATGGCACATGGACTGTTAAGCTGGAACAGGACGTTGGGTAAGTTGTTTTCTCCTTTTTAGATGTTTTTGCCCTTGTCCAACCTTCAGAAGTTTACTTCCTCTCTGGTTTAATACTGTTCTTAGACATACTGAATTATAAGGACTGTGGACTGAAAAGGGGCAGCTTTGAAAGAAGTGTATCTCATATAGTTCTTTGTTGTGTCTAATTCATTTTGTGGTGTCACATTCATTGGGCAATTTATATTTCTTTTCATGTCCCTGAAGTAATGTTTTATTTTTAGATAGTTCTAACCCTGAGGACATTCCAAAGACAATGGTATTTCTGTTTTTTTAAAATAAAGGAATACATAATTTTTTAAAAGCACATTTTGCTAAGGGACTTTCAAAGGGACAGGACAGTCATGTAATTGGGGGGTGAAGGTGATTCTGTTCACTTTTATTCTATTGTTTTCCCCTTTCTCCTCCATAGGGGCTAGTCCTGAGATAAAGTAAAAAAAAAAGGCATATGGTAATCCATTCTGAATATGTCATATTCCCTTAGTGTTCATAGCTGAGACCTTCCATAAACTATTTCTTAAGACACTGAAGATGAATCTCTTGACACGGTTATAGGGAGCAGAGATAAGGCATCCAAGGGGTTGCTTTTCAGCTAGGAAGTTTTTGGTCATCTGTACAATGCATACCCCAGTATCATAAATGATAAGATTTTATTTTCAACCATTCTTTTTCTTGAATTAAAAAAAAAAACAGTGATTAGGAAATTTTCAACTAGAGGAAACCAAAGAACAGCATCATAAACCATGTGTATTCAGCTTCAACATTTACCCACATTCTTTTAATCCTACTACCAGACTTGCCTATCTGAATCATGAATGTTAGGCCCTCTGGTCAACTAGATTTTCTTCAATGCTTGATTTTTCCCTTCAAACAGACTTCTGTTACTGTCACTAGAACAATCAGTATTAGACTTATTCCAGCCACTCTTCCCTTCTCTCTCCCACTCTAGAGAAGAAATGGCCTCAAATTTAGTTTGGAGTAGGGTGCTGTGCACATATCTCATTAGGAAATGGTGTAGATATTCAGGTTCTATCTAAAGATAGTTCATAGGAGAAAAGGGGAGGCAAAGAGAGGTGATTCATGTGCTGGAATGATGAAGGTACCAGCGCTGCTCCTTGAAGGATTATTAGCTTTTGGATGGGTGATGGAATTAAAAATTATTAATTGTAATGGCAACAATAGCTAATATTTGACGTGTTTACTATGGTCCAGGCACTGTTCCAAGCACTTCACATATATTACGTCATTACTATATGCAAAGGTGAGGAACAAGAACTATTAACATCCCATTTGCAAATGAGATGGAACCTGAGGTACAAGGAAGTTAATTCCTTCAAGGGCACACAGCACAGGGAGATAGAAGTTCAAATATTCGTGAGATCATAGAGTGGGAGTGAATGTCATCAAGACCAGCTCTTTTATTAAGGAAACCATAGTGCAAAGGGGGAAGGGGTTTCTCCAGGACACGCAGTGAGTGGGTGGTGGGTTTGAGACTCTTTTCCAGGAACCTAGATTTGAGTGTGGTGTGTTTCAGTTATACCAGACAGTCGTCTTCACTAACAGAAGCACCTCGCGAGGCCTCATGATGTCAGTTCCCTACCTTTCAGCTTTTGTTAGGATTGACTCTTCTTTTACTATTTCTTTCTTCGAGGAATAGTTCTTGCTTTTTATATTTTTAAATCTCATCTCTGCAAATTATTGAACTTAGCTAACATTTAGAGAATACAGCCTGTTCAAAGCATAGTCCAAAGACAATGTAAAGTTAGGGGAAGAGTCTCTTGCCTCTTTATCTGAAATTCCAAATATAAAATGAATGTTTTCATTTTTTTACCCCATTTCCTCTGCCTTATAGTCTCAAAAAACTGATGGATGTCTGAAGGATAATTTCTTTCTCTGCCACCAAAGGCCTTGCCCACTATGGTGCTTATTCACTTTATTTTACTTTTATAATGGAAAAAGTTTATATACAAAGCAAAAATTGAGCACTGAAACAGATCACTGATTCTCAATCAGAGGCTACAGCAAGAGATGGGAAATAATTGTGTATAAGGATTTCCCCTTTCACTTTTAATTTTTTAATGCACGTTACTGTGTACTCAGGGGTTTTCATCTATTCAGTATGTTACAATCAATTATAGTCATTATTATTTGGACCAAATTTGGCCACCAGAAGCCTCTTCAGTCTGATTCCTTTGTCCTTTTGGCATAAACCCATTAATCTTTGAATCCTTTCTTGTATTCAGTGATAATAAGATGTCCCATTAAGGTGTCATGTTGTACTTTCTTGCTAGACTTCTTCTTTTTTGTAATAATTACTTTTATTTTTTTTTCTTTCATAGAAGAATGGTGGTTTAGATTGTATGGATTTTAGAAACTCTTGAAAAAAATTGAAAGCCATTAGTAAGATCAATGTACCATTTGAGATTTTTAAAAAAGTATTTCAGCCTTCAAGAGCAATATTTTTAGAGTGAGACTTATTTTGGAAATGGAATCTATAAGGTTTCTAAATCAGGGGTTTCTATTTTTCACTAATTTCATCTTTTCTCTTGTTCAACTCTTCTAATTTCTGTCTTTGACTGCTGAGCCACATTAAAAAAAGAAAGCACCATTATTGCTTACTAAGGAGATATCATATGGAAAGAATTCTCAGATCCTGACCTTGTCCAAGGAGTGGTGAAAGGGATGGCATCCCAAATGTTAGCTGTCCTTTGTGGCCTTTTCTGCTTCTGGAGTCCAGAGGTTCTCCCTCTGTACCTTGTGACCTATCCATCATTGAAATCAGCTTATTCGTTTCAGTGCCAGATGTGTCTGGAGTCCACCTTAGTTCCCTTCTTACTTAATCTCTCGAGCATTTGAGCTTTTTTTTTTCTTTTGCCATCTGTAAAGTGAAGCAAAACTTGTAAGTTTGAGGTAAGCATTAAATGAACAATGTTTACACTATAAATAAGGGACTTGAGGCATAGTGAGGGTTTTGTACCTGTTGAATTCCTTCTTCCTTGTGTTATATTTACTTACACATGCAGGATATGTGTCTGCTTCATTTCTATAAATATTTTTATTGTTAAGTATAAGACAAATACAAAAACCTCCTAAAATAATTGTACAGTTTAATGAACTATTACGAGATGAGCATTTTTTAAAACGTTATCCATGTGAAACAGGCCCTCTCTTTATTAGATGAGGTACACTCTGTGGTGAACAAGATAGGGTCCTGCTTTCACAGAGCTGATGATTCTGTAGCATCTGGTACTGCCAGAGATCATACATAGGAATGAGAGAAGACATTTAATTTGGCTAAATTAACATTGGCTCAAATCCAGCAAAAGACCTTGTTAGCAGAAGGTAGAGCTCTTTGTCCACTATGGTGTAGTTTGGGCATTACATGGATGTGTGCGGTTGGCCATACAACCATGAGATAACATGAGATTCCATGTCTCACTTCCATGGTTACAGAAGGATCAGCATGCTTTATAGTTTTACATCACAAAATGATTCAGAAAAATGCAGATGTTTACAAATCCTATACTTGTCCCAGAAACCTTAAACTCCCACTTGAAAAGGAAATTCAAAATGTCAGGAATCCCTGGGGAGGAACATTCAACTTTAGGATCTTGGCTCTGCTTGACTCTCACTCAGGGGTAGCCACCAGCAGTTGGGTGCAGCCCTGATAGAGATTAATGTAACTCAGCCTAGACTTCTTCCTCTCTGGGCTCCTCCCTTGTCATGTCCTCCGACTTTGACTCTGCTGTGTGTGTCCTTGACCTGCTTCCCACTCTCTGGGTCTCTGGACTTGATAGAAAGCCTTGGTGAGTTCTAACTGCTACCTCTGGGAGTTCCTCTGAACCTTACCATCCCATGCACCTCTCTTGTTCTGTCCTATTTAGATGTGATAACGCTGCAGGATAAATCTTCTGGAACTATCTCCCAGGCTTCATGCCTTATAACCATAGGCAATGCTAACTTGCTTTGTTGTATAGCCCCAGTCTGGGAGATCAGACAGTGGTTTCCACTGGCTTGGGGTTAACCACAGAGATGTCTTTTTGTTCTCTCTGATTTTGTTTCCTTGCTTGTTCTTTATGCTGATCCTTAAAAAATGTCATGAAACTGTGGCATTGTGACAATTAGCCCTTGGCATTGCTGTTTGGGAACAGATAAGGGAAGTTTCTGACATTAAGATTGGTTATGCCAGGACCATACTACCTGTCTCAGGTATCCTTCTTGGGCTCCCTGGCGTTGTTGGTTAGCTTGCTCTGGACCTTGTCTGCCTAACAGGGCTTCGGGTATCTTGAGAACAAGGACTGTGGCCATCTTTCTTCCCTGGAACCTGAGCACTGAGTGTTGTCACCTTTCCACTGTGTGTGGCAGCAGCAACCAGAGAAGAGCTGTGGGTTTGCCTGTTTTGTTGCCTACCCATCATCCAGGAGGGCAGCCTCTGTCGTGTCATTAGAGTCGAGGCCCAACTACGTGGTGCCTTTGAGAGAGCCCACTCTCATAAAGTAACTTTACAGAGAGATGCAGATGAATACTATAATCTGGGTATTGCACTCTTTTTGGCAAAGAGAAAAAAAGAAGATTGTTACTGTGTCTAGAGTGTTGAAATTGACTTTAGCGTGTTCTTTATCAGTGGGGGCCGAAACATTTTAGCCTGTTATAGGCCTTTGGAGAAGTAAAAAGAAAGATGTCTGTGGTCCTTGTTGTCATGGTATCTGTGGTGTTGTTAAAGGGACAAGGCCTAAAACAGCTATCCAGCAGTGGTAGGGAGCCTGAGAAGTGCATGCTGGGACAGGCATTGTGGGCTACAGATTGACAGGAGGGCAGGAAAGGCCCACAGAGGTGGCAGAACATGAAGGTGTTGAGTTGGACCTTCACGAATGGGAGGAGTCACAGGGGAGAGAAGAGGGCTTTGGAGGAGACCATGGCCTGAGCAAAGCTAATACACAGGGTGTGTTTGAGAAAACTGAGTGAAAGTGATATAACATTAGCCTTGAAAGAGCATGTGGGGTGGTAGGAATAGAGCAATGCTGAGAAGAAAGTAATTGAGAGGGAAGATTGCTACTGGGGCTGGCTTTTTGAGTAGCAAAGCTTAGGTCCTTGTATTCTGCTCCTAAACTAATTCTGATTCATTTTTATAGATCTGTGCTAGTAGTTCATCCACAAAGAAGGATTTGGTGCTAAGCAGTATATTCACACTGTATTTGAATACTTGACTTGGAATAAATATTGGCATTAATAACAGTTTTTAAGGATGTTTCTGATTGATAATAGACATTTGAATCGCTGCTTGCTAGATTGACTCCAAGAGCTGTGGCATTATGACAGCCTTGGCATTGTTGTTTGGGACCTCTGTCATTAAGATTGACTGTGTCACAGCCACAAATGCTGTGAGCAATTGTCTGATCCATGGAGACCTGGTGTGTTAGTCCATTCTTGCATTGCTATCAGAAAATACACAATGCTGGGTAATTTATAAAGAAGAGATTTAATTGGCTCACAGTTCTGCAGGCTGTACCAGAAACATAGCAGCTTCTGCTTCTGGGGAGGCCTCAGGAAGCTTCCAATCATGGCAGAAAGCAAAGGGGGAGTGAGCTGTCTCACATGGCCAGAGCAGAAGTAAGTGGGGGCGGTGTTATACACTTTTAAACAACCAGATCTCACAAAAACTCATCATCACGAACAGCACCAAGGGGATAGTGCTAAACTAATTATGAGAAACTGCTCCTGTAATCCAATCACCTCCCACCAGGCCCCTCCTCTAACATTGGGGATTACAATTTGACATGAGATTTGGGCAGGGACACAGATCCAAACCATATCACCTTGTCAGTGCACAGGGAGGCATGGGAAGGTCACCACTGAAATGATGTCAGTTCTCTGGTCAAATTACCAGTTTATGTTCGGTGCCTTTTCTATAATTTTAATATATTAGCATATTGAGTTTTTTATTAAAAATAAATTTTACTCTCATGTCCTTTGAAAGAAAATGCATATGAATCTTATTTTTGGCTGTAGTTAATTCATTTTTGATAGTTGTTTTTTGGTCCACTTTACTCTGAATGTGCCTCATGGACTCATGTGGTGCTCTATGGGCAGGTGAGTCTAGTGACACCAATTATAGGTTGTCACTTCATATAAATAGTAACTGAAGAAACAGTGAACTTGACAAGGACAGAGAGGAGAAAAGATGTTTGGGAGCAGGAAAAAGGTTGGCTTAATGATTGTCTACCTTCTATAATCCCAGATTAATACCAGGCTGCATGGTTCAGAGGTGCAAGCTATCTCTTGTTTTCTGATTCTTAGGAAAAAATGCTAATGGTCTGGTTGAAAACCTAGTTCATTCATAAACTGACCTGCTGAAGGCAGGTCTGACTATCTTGAATAGACAGCAAATAGATTTGTTTGCTGGCTGTATATCAGCATTTGTAAGAGTTTCAAGTTCAATTAAATGTCAATTTAGCATGTGTTTAATATGTAGAATTTATTCCTGAATCAAACTATGCAAAAATGAAGGGCTCAGCTACTGGAATTTAAAGGCAAGTTCTTACTCTGTCAGCCCTGTGGGTTGAACATAGGTTGTAGATTAAAATGAGACCAGCAAGCATGAAGAACACCTTAACAATGGAAGGTGGTGGCCAGTGGGTTTTAGAGGCATGTTACTGAAACCCTGGAAACTTTGTGGCCAGTGCCTAAGTACAAAATGAATCATTACCTGAGAGAGAGATCATTGTTTTAAAAACATGTAGATTGTCACTGTAGGATCTGTAGTCTTTCCCATTAAAACGAAACAAAAAACTTCCCTGAAATCTTTCATACAAAACACCTGGAACCAAGCAAAAGGTCATCAGGGAGCATTTCTTGAACTCTCTGGCATTTCAAGGCAGTGATGTCATTCTTATTGCTTGATAAACATAACAATTCTTCAGGAGTCTTTTTCCTCCCATTTAATTTAAAAGGGAACTATTACATAGCTGCTGTATTGTTGGGATTAAGTAATAGGGGCGTGAGGCCCTTGTATCTTTAGGATTCTTTCCCATCTCAGCTGTAGGCAGACACTTTTGGGACAAAGCCATCAGTAAGCATCAGTAAGTCATTTCGCATTACTATAAAGAAATAATATATTCATATATTGCCAAGTAAAGCTTGAGAAGTCAATGCACTACCATTCTCTTAAGAATTATCGTAAGAAATTTCAAAGGCGCATTTTTAAGAGTGGGGCAATCTCCCATGCAGTCAGCATCCACAGAAACTCATTGGTTAGCAGTTTGGAGTTTTTCCTTCCGGTATAATTTACATGCATATAGGGATATATTTTTATTTTATAAAATTAAGATCATACTGAATTTAAGGACATATATCTTACATTTTCACACATCTTATAATTTACTATGTCACTAAATATTCTTAGAGAACTTGAAAGTATTCTATTATATGGAGCTCCCAGAATTTATTAACATACTGCTTTTGTTAAATGATAGTTATCTGCTGTTTTTTACTTTTATAAAAGTGATGATCATCCTTGCACATTAGATTAATATTTGTGAATTTTTAGGGTAAATCACTGTAAGTAAAACTATTGGGTTAAATATATACATTTTTAATAAACATTGCCAGAATACTTCCAAAAAGCTGATTCCAATTTGTAATTCCTGTAGAAGTACATGAGAGTATCTATTTCAATGTAGTCTACTGACACTGTTACTGTTAAAAATATTTCCTAGATTCTTAGATAAAACATGGTATCTTATTTTAATTTGTATATCTTTGATTACCTGAGAAATTGAACTTTTCCATATATTTGTTACTTGTATTTATTATTGTCCTGGCTTTTTCTGTACTCTAGATCCTCTTTACAGGGATCTTCTGTTCAGGTAGGCTTCCCCAGTGAGTGTGAATTATGGGGCAATAATAGATTGTAACTAACCACAAACCAGGCCAAGGGACAGCTATTCTTATGGACTTGTTGACTAGATCAGTGGCTTTTATGTCTACTTAATGCACATCTGTCATAACTTTCTGTTTCTTATTTATTCTTCCCCTGACATTTATTGATTATGATGCATAATATGGTTTAGTAAGCTGCTAAGGAAACCATGTGATGGGTGGGATAATTTTTCTTATCAGGAATTTACAAATTAATTAGTATCATACTTGAAAACTTTGCATTTGTCATTAAAGAAGTTAAATACCACTCTACTTATTCACCAGCTACTTATTCAAATACTTTGGCCTAGGGAAGACTGTGAGAGGTTATCAAGTTCATTTTTCTGCCATTAGGCAAAACCTAATCAAACGAGGCTAGAAGAGGCAGTAGAGAAATGTAAAGTATTGCCTCTCCCAGCCTCATTTGATTAGGCTTTGACTAAAGGCAGAAAATGAACTGATGAAGAAATATTTCTCTGATTTGAGAGACTTCTTATAAAAAAAAAACAAAACCCAAACCATCATGGTAGCATAAGAGCATGAATGTATCATGATTGTTTTGAGCCTCTCAGAGAAAACGCATTATTTGGTATCTACTCTTGCTAATCATCAACTAGTTTGTCCCTGTCTAATAAGATGCTGAGTCTATAAAGTATGATGACTTCAGTAGTACTTGGAGCTTCCAAATTGCAAGGCATGTCTTGGGAGGAAGACGACAGCTTTTCCTCTTCTGCTAAACTGAGGCACTCTTCTCTGATACCTATTGAAATGGTAGAGATGGTAGTCAAGAGGAAACAACCCATCATTTGAGCCTTGATTTTATAAACAGTTTAGTAATACATAGAAGTCAACTTCATTCCAGATACAGCCTGACAAGGAACCAGCTATGTAAAAGATAGCAGATGTCTAGAACTTTCTTCTACATTGATTAGTTGGTATACCCAGAGTGATGTGAAACATCTCCAGTGTTTCCCAAACTCCAGGGTCTAATATTTTCTCCTAACCTCTTTTACCCAAGTCATATTTAAAAGTTTTCTTTCTGTCAAATTTTAAATTTATAATTTTTTAGTTGGACAGTTTTAAGCATGTTAAAATATTATAATAACTCACTTTTAGACTTTTAGAATTTTTTTTATTCCTTGTAACTTTACAGCTGACACAATGGCCATTATTATTACTTTGATTTTTAACCCTGTTTTTAGAAGACATGGTTTTTACGTAGTGTGATCGTAGGTTGTACTCTGTATTGTAACTCAGATTTTTTTCACTTAAGATTAAATCCTAAAATATTTTCCTAATTCATGGTATAGTCTTGATAATGTTAATAGCAGCAAAATCATTTTCCATTAAGTGAACATAACTCCTTAACCATTGCCTATTGTGGGACATGTCCATAGCTTCTAATTCATTGTATTCAGTGTTCCTTGAAGCTATATTTATATTATAATACATTCATTCATAGAGGCATCAAGTATTTAAAAGTGAAGAGCCGATTTAAGTAGAAGGAAACAGAACAAAGCTGTGTAATCATCTAAAATAGTTCACTTAGTCATAGCTGAAAAAGTTCCTCTGCCATGTCTGTGGCTTGAGAGGAAAACACAAATCCCATATTTTATATATGTAGGTAAAGTTTTTTTTTTTTTTTTTGAGATGGAGTCTTACTCTGTCACCCAGGCTTGAGTGCAGTGGTGCGATCTTGGCTCACTGCAACCTCTGCCTCCTGGGTTCAAGTGATTCTCCTGTTTCAGCCTCTTGAGTAGCTAGGGCTACAGGAGTGTGCCACCACATCTGGCTAATTTTTTGTATTTTTAGTAGAGACGAGGTTTCACCATGTTGGCCAGGCTGGTCTCGAACTCCTGACCTCAAGCAATCCACCTGCCTTGGCCTCCCAAAGTGCTGGGATTACAGGCGTGAGCCACCGCGCCCGGTCATAGGTAAGGATTTGAAAAGTTAGAACTGAAGTCCCACTTGGGTGGGGAGCTGGAACTGATGCTGTTTGCAGTTAGAACTCTTGGGACACCACACTCTTGGTAAGGGCAGTAGGAGCTTCCTCCCACCTGGCTTGTTCCTCAGGCCTGAGGTGTGCAAACAGAAAGTCCAGAGGAAGATTTGCTTCTAGGACTGGTTCTCCATCTTTGTTATGTATATGGTCTTGGCCAAGTCACTGTATTTCTCTGGGCTAGTTCCATCTTCCATAAAAATAGAAGCATTACATCAGATCTAAAATGCTTGGCAATATTCTCACTTCTGTGACTTGTAGACAGTCTATCAGCTCAAAACTGCTCTGAGTGGTCTGGAATTATGGGGAATTAATATGACTTACTGGGTGGAAGAAACTTAATTCTGATGGGGACGGAGATGGACAGAAGGCTCCAACATTTAATGTTGCTTTAAAACATTTTTATGCCTTTCTTGATATTTCATTTTTACTGTTAGGTCAGTATATCTTTCTGAATTAGAAATCTAGCTATAAGTAGAGATGGTTTTCATTCATTGAAAGCACAAATGATGTCTTTGTGGATGGCTGCAACTTTTCTGCTTATTCAACCCCCGGCCACCTAGGAACCTGCCACTTGCATTTATAACATCAGTCATGACAGTTAGGTGTGTTGACATGTGAAGCAGACACCTGGGTAGATTAACAAGGCCTGAGGAACTTGAGTTGTTACAGTTAATAGGTCAGCTGTTGTATAGATAGTAATATTATAGCCAAAGTTTCCGGTTTAGTCCTTGTTTCCAAAGGAAATTCCTCTCATGGTGTGAAGATATGCAGGTCTGTTTCTTAACCCTCTCAGTACCTGTGTCCCTTCTGATGAACCTCAATGTGAGTCATTCTTTCTTTCTCCCCTTCCCACCTCCCACCCCACCCCCCACCCCCCCCACACACACGAGATGCTGCTGACCAGGTTGATAACCCTTGATACAAATGGAAGGAATACTAGATTCATTCATTTCAGGGCTACTCAACTGTAGTTTCAGATCAACCCCTTACCAGCCCCGTGGCCTTGGATAAGTTAGCAAATCCCTCTGTTTTCTCTTCTAAAAAATGAGGACTTAGGTCACAGAATCTTCAAGAATCACAAAATTATACTTTCAGAAGAGTAAGACCTGACGCATAAATAAATACATGCCTGGCCCCAGGCATACCGATAAAACAAGACATGCTGTTTGTTTGTGGAACTTTCTTGTCTCTTGTCCCTTTCTGCACACCTCATCATTTGTTCTCGCTCCCTCCATATCGCCAGCATATGGCACCCAGTAGACTTCTTCTGCTGCCACTGCTGGCCTGGCCCCTTGCAGGGATAGTTAGCAGTTTCTCAGCCACCTTTTCCACTTGTCTTGTTTGTATTCTAGCCATCCTTCAACACGCAGGTTAAATGGCTTCTCCATTAAGCCACATAGATCCCCTCATCTAGCCTTAATCTCTTCCACCTACTAACTTCCATAACACTTTATCTTGTTTTTTTTTAATTCAGGGTATTTATTACTTCCTCTTTTGTGGATACAAATATTTCCTCTACTGGATTGTAGTTCCTCTGAGGGTTTAATTTGTATCCCAATGCCTGGTATATTTGTTGAATGAGTGAACAAATGAATGAGTGGGGAGTTAGTAAGTGACTAAGTGAATTAATTAATTGTATTCCCACTCAGTACTATGCCATTCACTAGTAGACCCTCAAAGTTCTGTTTTTCTTATCATTCCCTTAGGCCCTCTTTAGATAACTAGCTTCTTAATTTCTGGTTAATTAATGAAGAGATTGTTAATGGCTGATATACTGATACGTTGCTGCTTAAAAATTTGTGTCTTAATAGCAGATCCAAAGAGATGACTCTTTAGTTCACATAATGGAGTATAAGAGGATTATGAGATGTGTGGATGTAGTCAGGGATGGGGAGGTTCCATCTACCAAAGGTGATGGTCTCAGCCTGTGTAGAAAGCTTGTCCAAGTTACATGTATTAACTTTTAATTTATAATGCAAAACAAAAATTCTCCATAGTACAGCAAGCCCCAGCCTTTTTGGCACCAGGAACTGGTTTCATGGAAGACAGCTTTTCCATGGACTTGAGGGGTGGATGGTTTCACGATGATTCAAGCACATTACATGTATTGTGTACTTTATTTCTATTATTGTTACATTGTAATATATAATGAAATATTATAGTTATATAACTCACCATCATGTAGACTTGGTGGGAGCCCTGAGCTTGTTTTTCTGCAACTAGATGGTCTCATCTGGGGTTGATGGGAGACAGTGACAGATCATCAGGCATTAGATTCTCATAAGGAGGATGCAACCTAGATCCCTTGCATGCACAATTCACAATAGGGTTTGTGCTTCTATGAGAATCTAATGTTGCCACTGATCCGACAGGCGGTGGAGCTCAGGTGATAATGAGAGTGATGGGGAGCAGCTGTAAGTACAGATGAAGTTTTGCTTGTTCGCTCACCCGATGCTCACCTCCTACTGTGTGGCCCAGTTCCTGGCTGTCCACAGACCAGTATCAGTCCATGGCCTAGGGGTTTGGGACCCCTGCCATAGAACACTTAATAATTGTGGCAAAGTTGACAGCTGCCATCTCTTTGTTGCCTCGCAAATATTCTTTCCATTCAACAGCAGCGTTTTAATTTTTGCTGTGTGGACCATCAATCTGTAAGCTGCACTCAAGGAAAAAGACTGAGGCTCTCCTAAAAAATGATAATTGGGTCATCTTGATGTCTTAGACAGAATATTCGTATAGCACAGGTGGGCAGTGTTCAAAGGCTCACCTGTATTCACTCCTGAGGATGCAGTGGTGGTTTTTGTTTGGTTTTTACAGACAGGGTCTCACTCTGTCACTCAGGCTGGAGTGCAGTGGCACAATCATGGCTCACTGCAGCCTTGAATTCCTGGGTGCAAATGATCCTCCCACTTCAGCCTCCCAAGTAGCTAGGACTACAGGCATGCACGACCACATGCAGCTAATTTTTAAAAAATTTTTGTAGAGATGGGGTCTTGCCATGTTGCCCAGGCTGGTCTCAAACTCCTCACCTCAAGCAATCCTGCCTTGGCCTCCCAAGGTGCTGGGATTACAACTGTGAGCCATTGTGCTCAGTAGTTGTGGTATTTTAAAGTGAGACATGGAGATGAGAGAGACTCATAGGATGTCTCTACTAATTGATCAGCACAGGCTTTCTTGTCTCTTCAGATTATATGCTGAATGGCCTCACCTCATCCAAACACACAATGCTGACGCCTCTGCCTCCCCTACCACCATGCACTGTGCCTTTCCTATAATATGTATTAAAATAGATGACAGATGGTAAAGAGCAAAGCCGATTCTGTAAGCCTTGTTTTGTGGGTGCTTGATCTTTTATTTCAGTCACTGTGCAGTTTTCTGTGGATTATGTTTCTCATATTCTAGAAGACCAAGTATATCTAAATAATTTGGTATAATACGCAACAGAAGACTGTGGGTGAACTGACACTGAATAAATGATTTACTTTGAGAGAATGGAGTTTTACAAATATGACAGCCAAGGAACCAGGGCAACAGTTAACTTGAGCAGTTGGCCCCAAGAGGAAATGTCTTGGTGTCCTGGCAGAAGAGAGCCAGTTGTCTGTGTTAGTACCACAACTATCTCCTACTTCTTTTCTCTTCTGTCCGCACCCTTGCATGTCACGGGAAGGACTAAAACATGGTTAGATTGGCCATTCCAAATAATGTTGTTAAGTTCTGTAGAGGCCATGACCTGGGTCATTGTAGAAACAGCAGTCTTTAATCTGTTTCCAGAATGCAGTGTGCTTAGATAAGCAGTCTACTCAAGGTTAATATCTCTGCATCTGTGGTGTTTGGTATTTAAAGAATCAATTTAAACACCTTTTATTCAAAGAAAAATCTTAATGTTCTTTGGAGGTTAATGAATTTCAAGTATACTTGGGATTTAAGGAGTAGACAAAAAGAAGTAGATTTTTCATGGCTTAGATGTCTGGTGATGAAAACATAACTGCTTTCTAATGTTTTAATGTTCTTCCTGTGGTAATTCCAGAATGCATTCATTGTGGTTCTGTGTCATTAAGTACTGGCACAAAGGAGTTGTTGATAATAACCCAACCTGGGCACGTTTCCCAGCCTATAAGTTGATTTACAGTTACAGATTCTCTGCATGTTCATCACTCCCTAACCCCACAGACTATCATTTTTGAAGGAACTAGAAAAATAACATTAATGGCATTTGAAAGGATAACATTAGAAAATTATCTGTTATTATAGTAATATCTGTTATATTGACTACTACCTATTTTATTGTTCTACTGTCTGAATGTTAGACTTTCATGTAGAATTCATTTGTAGTTTGGCTTGGTTTAATTTTTATCCAGAGAGACATAGAAATGTGGTTTACTGTTACTTTTGAGGATGAGGTCTATTAGTAAAGAACTATGTGGCCCATTATAACCCATTACTGTCTATGTGGATCCTGCAATACACTCCTCCATCACTTTACATGAAGAACTAACAGTAGAATGCAAAATGTAGGAAAATTTGCTTTAGGTTTTACACCTCAGCCTTCTAAGTTTCAGTTTGGTTCAGTCTGAGAAAGGCCTAGTAAATCAAGGAAAGAGAAGGGCTGCCTTGTGAGGCGGTATTACAAAAATGAGAATTGCTCAGCCTGGATGGATACTCACCAATAGGATACATTACCTAAATCCAAAAGAGGACAGGTGTAGCAGCTTGTATTAGTTCTTTTTCACACTGCTGATAAAGGCATACCCAAAACTGGGAACAAAAAGAGGTTTAAATGGACTTACAGTTTCACATGGCTGGGGAGGCCTCAGAAACATGGTGGGAGGCAAAAGGCACTTCTTACATGGCAGCGGCAAGAGAAAAATGAGGAAGAAGCAAAAGTGGAAACCCCAGATAAACCAATCAGATCTTGTGAGACTTATTCACTGTCATGAGAATAATTCAAGAAAGTCCGGCCCCCTTGACTCAATTACCTCACCCGGGGTCCCTCCCACAACACATGGGAATTCTGGGAGACAAAATTCAAGTTCAGATGTGGGTGGGGACACAGTCAAACCATATCATTTTGCCCTTGGCCCCTCTAAATCTCATGGCCTCACATTTCAAAACCAATTATGCCTTCCGAACAGTCCCCCAAAGTCTTAACTCATTTCAGCATTAACCCAAAAGTCCACAGTCCAAAGTCTCATCTGAGACAAGGCAAGTCCCTTCTACCTATGAGCCTGTAAAATCAAAAGCAGGCTAGTTACTTCCTAGATACAATGGGGGTACAGGTATTGGGTAAATATAGCCATTCCAAATGGGAGAAATTGGCCAAAACAAAGGGGTTACAGGGTCCATGCAAGTCTGAAATCCAGTGGGGCAGTCAAATTTTAAAGCTCCAAAACGATCTCCTTTGACTCCAGGTCTCGCTGATGCAAAAGGTGGGTTCCCATGGTCTTGGGCAGCTCTGCTTCTGTGGCTTTGCAGGGTACAGCCTGCCTCCTGGATGCTTTCACGGGCTGGCGTTGAGTGCGGCTTTTCCAGGCACACAGTGCAAGCTGTCAGTGGATCTACCATTCTGGGGTCTGGAGGATGGTGGCCCTCTTCTCACAGCTCCACTAGGTCACTGCCTACAGTAGGGACTCTGTGTGGGGGCTGTGACCCCACATTTCCCTTCAGCACTGCCGTAGCAAAGGTTCTCCATGAGGGCCCCACCCCTGCAGCAAACTTTTGCCTGAGCATTTAGGCGTTTCCATTCATCTTCTGAAATCTAGGCAGAGGTTCCCAAACCTTAATTCTTGACTTCAGTGCACCTGCAGGCTCAACACCACATGGAAGCTGCCAAGGCTTAGGGAATCCACCCTCTGAAGCCACAGCCTGAGTTCTGCGTTGGCTCCTTTCAGCCATGGCTGGAGCAGCTGAGACACAGGTCACCAAGTTCCTAGGCTGCACGCAGCATGGGGACCCTGGGCCTGACCCACAAAACCACTTTTTCCTCCTGGGCTTCCAGGCCTGTGATGGGAGGGGCTGCCGTGAAGGTCTCTGACATGGTCTGGAGACATTTTCCCCGTGGTCTTGGGGATTAACATTAGGCTCCTTG
This sequence comes from Homo sapiens, assembly GCF_000001405.40. NCBI lineage: Eukaryota > Metazoa > Chordata > Mammalia > Primates > Hominidae > Homo > Homo sapiens. The sequence goes on from NC_000003.12 coordinate 133,099,448, forward strand.
CTACTTATGCAAATTCTGGCAGCCAGCTTGAATTTCTTCTCAAAAAAATGGGTTTTTCTTTTCTAC